>NC_000003.12:90550202-90565295 GCF_000001405.40 Homo sapiens
TAAACTCTGTGAGTTGAATACACACATCACAAAGTAGTTTCTGAGAATCATTCTGTCTGGTTTTTCTATGAAGATATTGCCTTTTCTACCATAGGCCTCAAATGGCACTAAATATCCACTTGGAAATCCTACAAAAAGAGAGTTTCCAAACTGCTCTATCAAAAGAAAGGTTCAACTCTGAGAGTTGAAATCACACATCACAAAGAAGTTTCTGAGAATTCTTCTGTCCAGTTTTATATGATGAAATCACCTTTCAAAGGAAGGCCACAAAGAAGTCCAAATATCCACTTGCAGATTCTACAAAAATAGTGTTTCAAAACTGCTCTATCAGGAGGAAGGTTCAACTCTGTGAGTTGAATGCCAATATCACAAAGTAGTTTCTGACAATGCTTCTGTCTAGTTTTAATGTGAAGATATTTCCTTTTCTACAGTAGGCCTCAAAGCGCTCTAAATATACACTTGAAAATTCCACAAAAATAGTGTTACAAAACTACTCTACCACAGGAAAGGTTAAACTCTGTAAGCTGAATGCACACATAACTAATTAGTTTCTGAGAATGATTCTGTCTAGGTTTTGTATGAAGATATTTCCTTTTCTTCCATAGGCATCTATCCGCTCTAAATATCCACTTGGAAATCCTACAAAAAGAGTATTCCAAAACTGCTCTATCATAAGGACGGTTCAACTCTCTGGGTTGAACGCACACATGAAAAAGAAGTTTCTGAGAATTCTTCTGCCAAGTTTTATATGAAGAAATGCCGTTTCCAACGAACGCCTCATAAAAGTGTAAATATTCAATTGCAGATTCTGCAAAAAGAGTGTTTTAAAACTGCCGTATGAAAAGAAAGTTTAAATACTGTGAGTTGAACGCACACAGCACAAAGCAGTTTCTGAGTATCATTCTGTCTTGTTTTTATGTGATGATATTTCCTTTTCTACCGTAGGCCTCAAACGGCGCTAAATAGCCACTTGGAAATTCTACAAAAAGAGTATTTCAGAACCGCTCTATCGAAAGGAAGGTTCAACACTGTGAGTTGAAAGCACACATCACAAAGTAGATTCTGATAATTCTTCTGTCAAGTTTTATATGAAGAAACTCCATTTTCAAAAATGGCCTCTAAAAAATCCAAATATTCACTTGCAGATTCTACAAAAAGAGTGTTTAAAAACTGCTCTATCAAAAGAAAGGTTAAACTCTGTGAGTTGAATGCACACATCACAAAGTAGTTTCTGAGAATCTTTCTGTCTAGTTTTTCTATGAAGATACTGCCTTTTATTCCATCGGCCTCAAACGGCGCTAAATATCCACCTGGAAATTCTACAAAAAGAGAGTATCAAAACTGCTCTATCGAAAGAAATGTTCAACACTGTGAGTTGAATGCAGATATCACAAAGTAGTTTCTGACTATGCTTCTGTCTAGTTTTAATGGGAAGATATTTCCTTTTCTACCATAGGCCTCAAAGCGCTCTAAATATACACTTGCAAAGTCCACAAAAAGAGAGTTACAAAACTGATCTATCAAAAGAAAGGTTAAAGTCTGTAAGCTGCATGCACACATTAGAAAGTAGTTTCTGAGAATGATTCTGTCTAGGTTTTCTATGAAGATAATTCCTTCTCTACCACAGGCCCCAAACGGCTCTAAATATCCACTTGGAAATCCCACAAAAAGAGTATTTCAAAACTGCTCTATCAAAAGGAACGTTGACCTCTGTGAATTGAATGCACAGATCACAAAGAAGTTTCTGAGAGTTCTTCTCTCAAGTTTTCTGTGAAGAAATCCCGTTTCCAAAGAAGGCCTCCAAAAAGTACAAATATTCACTTCCAGATTCTACAAAAAGACTGTTTCAAAAAAGCTCTATCAAAAGAAAGTTTAAACTCTGTGAGTCGTAAGCACACATCACAAAGAAGTTTCTCAGAATCATTCTGTCTATTTTTTCTAACAAGATATTTCCTTTTCTAGCATAGGCCTCAAATGGAGCTAAATATCCACTTGGAAATACTACAAAAAGAGTTTCAAAACTGCTCTATCGAAAGAAAGGTTCAACTGTATGAGTTGAAAGCACACATCACAAAGAAGTTTCTGAGAGTTCTTCTGTCTAGTTTTGTATGAAGAAATCAGGTTTGAAATGAAGGCCACAAAGAGGTTCAAATATCCACTTGCAGATTCTACAAAAAGAGTGTTTCAAAACTGCTCTATCAAGAGAAATCTTCAACTCTGTGGGTTGAATGCAAATATCCCAAAGTAGTTTCTGACAATGCTTCTGTCTGGTTATTACGTGAAGATATATCCTTTTCTACCATAGGCCTCAAAGGGCTCTAAATAAACACTTCCAAAATCCACAAAAAGAGTGTTTCAAAACTGCTCTATCAATCAAAAGAAAGGTTAAACTCTGTAAGCTGAATGCACACATCACAAAGTAGTTTCTGAGAATGATTCTGTCTCGTTTTCCTATGAAGATATTTCCTATGAAGATATTTCCTTTCCTATCACAAGCCTCAAAGCGCTCTAAATATCTACTTGGAAATTCTACAGAAAGAGTATTTCAAAACTTCTCTCTCGAAGGGAAGGTTCAACTCTGTGAGTTGAATGCCCACATCACAAAGTAGTCTCTGAGAATTCTTCTGTTAAGTTTTATTTGAAGAAATCCCTTTACCAACGAACGCCACAAAAATTCCAAATATTCACTTGCAGATTCTCCAAAAAGAGTGTTTCAAAACTATTCTATAAAAAGAAAGTTTAACACTGTGAGATGAATGCACACATCTTAAAGTAGTTTCTGACAATCATTCTGTCTAGTTTTTCTATGAAGATATTGCCTTTTCTACCATAGGCCTCAAACGGCACTATATATCCACTTGGAAATTGTACAAAAAGAGCGTTTACAAACTGCTCTACCGAAAGGAAGGTTCAACACTGTGAGTTGAAAGCACACATCACAAAGATGTTTCTGAGAATTCTTCTGTTTAGTTTTATATGAAGAAACCACGTTTCAAACGAAGGTCACAAAGAGGTCCAAATATGCACGTGCAGATTCTACAAAAATAGTGTTTCAAAACTGCTTTATCAAGAGGAACGTTCAACTCTGTGAGTTCAATGCAAATGTCACAAAGAAGTTTCTGACAATGTTTCTGTCTAGGTTTTAGGTGAAGATATTTCCTTTTCTAACGTAGGCTGCCGAGCACTCTAAATATACACTTGCAAAATTCCACAAAAAGAGTGTTTCAAAACTGCACAATCAAAAGAAAGGTTAAACACAGTAAGCTGAATGCACACGGGACAAAGTAGTTTCTGAGAAGGATTCTGTCTTGTTTTTCTACGAAGATATGTCCTTCTCCAAAATAGGCCGCAAACCGCTCTAAATATTCACTTGGAATTTCTACAAAAAGAGTATTTCAAAACTGCTCTATCGAAAGGAAGGTTCAAACCTGTGAGTTGAATGCACATATCACAAAGAAGGTTCTGAGAATTCTTCTGTCAAGTTTTATGTGAAGAAACCCCGTTTCCAACGAAGGCCTCTTAAAAGTCCAAATATTCACTTGCAGATACTACAAAAACACTGTTTCAAAAGTGCTCTATCAAAAGAAAGTTTAAACTGTTTGAGTTGAACGCACACTTCACAAAGTAGTTTCTGAGAATCGTTATGTCAAGTTTTCCTAAGAAGATATTACCTTTTCAACCATAGGCCTCAAACAGCCCTAAATATCCACTTGGACATTCGACAGAAAGAGAGTTTCAAAACTCCTCTTTCGAAAGGCATGTTCCGTGAGTTGAACACAAACATCACAAGGTAGTTTCCGATAATCATTCTGTCTAATTTTTCTATGATGATAATGCCTTTTCTACCATTGGCTTCAAACGGCGCTAAATATCCACTTGGAAATTCTACAAAAAGAGTGTTTCAAAATTGCTCTATGAAGAGGAATGTCCAGCTCTGTAAGTTGAATGCAAATATCACAAATTAGTTTCTGACAATGCTTCTTTCTGGTTTTTATGTGAAGATATTTCCTTTTCTACCACAGGCCTCAAAGCGCTCTAAATATACACTTGCAAATTCCACAGAAAGAGTGTTTGAAAACTGCTGTATCAAAAGAAAGTTAAACTCTGTAAGCCGAATGCAGACATCACAAAGCAGTTTCTGAGAATGATTCTGTCTAATTTTTCTATGAAGATATTTCCTTTTCAACCACAAGCCTGAAACCGCTCTAAATATGCATTTGAAATTCTACAAAAAGAGTATATCAAAACTGCTCTATGGAAAGGAAGGTTAAACTCTGTGAGATGAATGCACTCATCACAAAGAAGTTTCTGAGAATTCTTTGGCAAAGTTTTATATGACAAAATCCCTTTTCCAAAGAAGGCCACAAAAATGTCCAAATATTCACTTGCAGATCCTCCAAAAAGTGTGTTTCAAAACTGCCCTATCAAAAGAAAGTTTGAACTCAGTGAGTTGAATGCACACATCACAAAGCAGTTTCTGAGAATCATTCTGTCTAGTTCTTCTATGAAGATATTGCCTTTTCTACCATAGACCTCAAACGGCGCTAAATATCCACTTGGAAATTCTACAAAAAGAGAGCTTCAAAACTGCTTTATCGAAAGGAATGTTAAAATATGTGAGTTGAAAGCACACATCACAAAGAAGTTTCTGAGAATTCTTCTGTCTAGTTTTATATGAAGAAATCACGTTTCAAACGAAGGCCCCAAAGAGGTCCAAATATACACCTGCAGATATTACAAAAAGAGTGTTTCAAAACTGCTCTATCATAAGAAAGGTTAAACTCTGTAAGCTTAATGCAAACATCACAAAGTAGTTTCTGAGAATGATTCTGTCTAGTTTTTCTATGAAGATATTTAATTTTCTGCCATAGGCCTCAAACCGCTCTAAATATACACTTGGAAATTCTACAAAAAGAGTATTTTAAAACTGCTCTATCGAAAGGAAGTTTTAACTCTGTGAGTTCAATGCACACATCAGAAAGAACTTTCTGAGAATTCTTCTGTCAAGTTTTAAAAGAAGAAAACCCGTTTCCAACAAAGGCCTCAAATATGTAAAAATATTAATTGGCACATTCAACAAAAAAGAGTGTTTCAAAACTGCTCCATCAAGAGGAACGTTCAACTCTGTGAGTTGAATGCAAATATCACAAAGTAGATTCTGACAATGCTTCTGTCAAGTTTTTATATGAAGATATTTCCTTTTCTACCATAGGATTCAAAGCGCTCTAAACATCCACTTGGAAATTCTACAAAAAGAGTGTTTCAAATCTGCTCTATCAAAAGGAAGGTTGCACTCTGAGAGTTGAATCCACACATCCCAAAGAATTTTCTGAGAATTCTTCTGTCTAGTTTTATACGAAGAAATCCTGTTTCCACTGAAGGCCTCAAAGAGTTCCAAACATACACTTGCAGAAACTACAAAAAGAGTGTTTCAAAACTGCTCTATCAAGAGGAATGTTCAACTCCGCGAGGTGAATGCAAACATCACAAAGCAGTTTCTGAGAATGCTTCTGTCTAGTTTTTATGTGAAGATATTTCCTTTTCTACCGTAGGCCTCGAAGTGATCTAAATATCCACTTGCAAACACTACAAAAGGGTGTTACAAAACTGCACTATCAAATGAAGGTTCACCTCTGTGAGTTGAGTACAGACATCACAAAGAATTTTCTGAGAATACTTCTGTCCACTTTTTATGTGCAGATATTCCCGTTTCCAAAGAAAACTTCAAAGTGCTCCAAATATCCAGATGCACAGTTTACAAACAGAGTGTTTCAAAACTGCTCCATCAAAAGAAAGGTTAAACTCTGTGATGTGAACACACACATCACAAAGTAGTTTCTAGGAGTTATTCTGTCTAGATTTATATGAAGATAATTTTTTCTACCATATGGTTCAAAGCGCTCTAAATATCCACTTGGAAACTCTGCAAAAAGAGTGTTTTAAATCTGTTCTATTAAAGGAAGATTCAACACTGTGAGTTGAATGCACACATCACAAAGAAGTTTCTGAGAATTCTTGTGTCTAGTTTTATGTGAAGAAATCCTGTTTCCAGCGAAGGCCTCAAAGAAGTCCAAATATCAACTTGCAGATTCTACAAAAAGAGTATTTCAAAACTGCTCTATCAAGAGTAATGTTCAATTCAGTGAGTTGGAAGCAAGTATCACAATGTAGTTTCTGAGAATGCTTCTGTGTAGTTTTTCTACGAAGATATTTCCTTTTCTACCATAGGCCTCAAAGAGCTCAAAACATCCACTAGCAAACCCTACAAAAAGTGTGTTTCAAATCTGCTCTATCAAAAGGAAGATTCAACTCTGTGAGTTGAGTACAGACATCACAAAGAAAATTCTGAGAATACTTCTATCTACTATTTATGTGACGATATTCCCATTTCCAAAGAACACTTCAAACAGCTCCAAGTATCCAGATGCAGACTTTACAAAGAGAGTGTTTCAAAACTGCTCTATCTTTAGTTTAATTAGATCCCATTTGTCAATTTTGTCTTTTGTTGCCATTACTTTTGGTGTTTTAGACATGAAGTCCTTGTCCTTGCCTATATCCTGAATGGTAATGCCTAGGTTTTCTTCTAGGGTTTTTATGGTTTTAGGTCTAACGTTTAAGTCTTTAATCCGTCTTGAATTGATTTTTGTATAAGGTGTAAGGAACGGATCCAGTTTCAGCTTTCTACATATGGCTAGCCAGTTTTCCCAGCACCATTTATTAAATAGGGAATCCTTTCCCCATTGCTTGTTTTTCTCAGGTTTGTCAAAGATCAGATAGTTGTAGATATGTGGCATTATTTCTGAGGGCTCTGTTCTGTTCCATTGATCTATATCTCTGTTTTGGTACCAGTACCATGCTGTTTTGGTTACTGCAGCCTTTTAGTATAGTTTGAAGTCAGGTAGTGTGATGCCTCCAGCTTTGTTCTTTTGGCTTAGGATTGAGTTGGTGATGCGGGCTCTTTTGCACAGCAAAAGAAACTACCATCAGAGTGAACAGGCAACCTACAAAATGGGAGAAAATTTTCGCAACATACTCATCTGACAAAAGGTTAATATCAAGAATCTACACTGAACTCAAACAAATGTACAAGAAAAAAAACAAACAACCTCGTCAAAAGGTGGGTGAAGGACATGAACAGACACTTCTCAAAAGAAGACATTCATGCAGCCGAAAAACACAGGAAAAAATGCTCACCATCACTGGCCATCAGAGAAATGTAAATCAAAACCACAATGAGATACCATCTCACACCAGTTAGAATGGCAATCATTAAAAAGTCAGGAAACAACAGATGCTGGAGAGGATGTGGAGAAATAGGAACATGTTTACACTGTTGGTGGGACTGTAAACTAGTTCAACCATTGTGGAAGTCAGTGTGGCGATTCCTCAGGGATTTAGAACTAGAAATACCATTTGACTCAGCCATCCCATTACTGGGTATATACCCAAAGGACTATAAATCATGCTGCTATAAAGACACATGCACACGTATGTTTATTGTGGCATTATTCACAAGAGCAAAGACTTGGAACCAACCCAAATGTCCAACAATGATATACTGGATTAAGAAAATGTGGCACATGTACACCCTGGAATACTAAGCAGCCACAAAAAATGATTCATTCATGTCCTTTGTAGGGACATGGATGAAATTGGAAACCATCATTCTCAGTAAACTATCACAAGAACAAAAAACCAAACACCACATATTCTCACTCATAGGTGGGAATTGAACAATGAGATCACATGGACACAGGAAGGGGAACTTCACACTCTGGGGACTGTTGTGGGGTGGGGCAAGGGGGGAGGGATAGCATTGGGAGATATACCTAATGCTAGATGATGAGCTAGTGAGTGCAGCACACCAGCATGACACATGTATAGATATGTAACTAACATGCACAATGTGCACATGTACCTTAAAACTTAAAGTATAATAATAAAAAATGCATAAATAAATAAATATAAAACTGTTCTATCAAAAGAAAGGTTAAACTCTGTGAGTTGAACGCTCACATCACAAAGTAGTTACTAGGAAAGATTCTGTCCAGTTTCTATGAAGATATAACCTTTTCAACCATAGGTTTCAAAGCACTCTAAATATCCACTTGGAAATACTGCAAAAACAGTGTTTCAAATCTGATCTATCAAAAGAAGGATTAACTCTGTGAGTTGAACGCACACTTCACAAAGAAGTTTCTGAGAATTCTTCTGTCTAGTTTTAAATGAAGAAATCCCATTTCCAATGAAGGCCTCAAAGAGGTTCAAATATCCACCGTCAGATTCTACAAAAAGAGTGTTTCAAAACTGCTCTATCAAGAGGAAAGTTCAACTCCGTGAGTTGAATGCAAACATCACAAAGTAGTTTCTGAGAATGCTTCTGTCTAGTTTTTATATGAAGATATATTCTTTCCTACAATAGGCCTCAAAGCACTCTAAATATCCACTTGCAAACTCTACAAAAAGAGTGTTTCAAAACTGCTCTATCTGAGAATGCTTCTGTGTACTTTTTATGTGAAGATATATCGTTTTCTACCATAGGCCTCAAAGTGCTCTAAATACACACTTGCAAATTCAACAAAAAGAGTGTTTCAAAACTGCTCTATCAAAAGAAAGTTTATACTCAGTGAGTTGAATGCACACATCATAAAGTACTTTCTGATTATGATTATGTCAAGTGCTTATATGATGATATTACCTTTTATACTATAGGCCTAAAAGCCTATAATATAATATAGGCCTAAAATATAGGCCTAAAAGCCCTAAATATCCACTTGGATATTCTACAAAAAGAGTGTTTCAAAACTGCTCTATTGAAAGGAACGTTCAACTCTGTGAGTTGAATGCACACATCACAAAGAAGCTTCTGAGAATTCTTCTGTCTAGTTTTATATGAAGAAATCACGTTTCCAACGAAGACCACAAAGAGGTCCAAATATCCAATTTCAGATTCTACAAAAAGAGTGTTACAAACTGCTCTATCAAAAGGAATGTTCAACTCTGTGTGTTGAAGGCAAACATCACAAAGTAGTTTCTGAGAATGCTTCTGTCTAGTTTTTCTGTGAAGATATTTCCTTTTCTACCATAGGCCCCAAAGCGCTCTAAATATCCACTTGCAAACTCTACAAAAAGAGTGTTTCAAAACTTCTCTATCAAAAGGAGGTTTCACTTCTGTGAGTTGAGTACAGACATAACAAAGAAGTTTCTGAGAATACTTCTGTCTACTTTTTATGTGAAGATATTCCCGTTTCCAAAGAAACCCTCAAAGCGCTCCAAATATCCAGATGCAGAGATTACAAACAGGGTGTTTCAAAACTGCTCTATCAAAAGAAAGGTTAAACTCTTTGAGTTGAATGCACACATCACAAAGTAGTTACTGGGAATGATTATTTCTAGTATTTATATGAAGATATTTCCTTTTCTACCATAGGATTCAAAGCGCTCTAAATATCCACGTGGAAATTCAACAAAAAGAGTGTTTCAAATCTGCTCCATCAAAAGGAAGGTTCAAATCTGTGAGTTGAATGCATACATCACAAAGTAGTTTCTGGGAATGATTCTGTCTAGTTTTTATATGAAGGTATTTCATTTTCTACCATAGGATTTAAAGCCCTCTAAATATTCACTTGGAAATTCTACAAAAAGAGTGTCTGAAATCTGCTCTATCAAAAGGAAGTTTCAACACTGTGAGTTGAATGCAAACATCACAGAGAAGTTTCTGAGAAGTCCTCTGTCTAATTTATATGAAGAAATCCCTTTTCCAAGGAAGGCCTCAAAGAGATCCAAATATACACTTGCAAATCCCACTAAAAGAGTGTTTCAAGAATGCTCAATAAAGAGGAATGTTCAAATTCGTGAGTTGAATGCAAACATCGCAATGTAGTTTCTGAGAATGCTTCTGTCTAGTTTTTATGTGAAGATATTTCCTTTTCCACAATAGGCGTCATATCGCTCTAAATATCCTCTTGCAAACTCTACAAAGAATGTTTCAAAACTGCTCTGTCAAAAGGAATGTTCACCTTTGTGAGTTGAATACAGACATCGCAAAATGTTTCTAAGAGTACATCTGTCTACTTTTTATGTGAAGATATCCCCGTTTCCAAAGAAAACCTCAATGCGCTCCAAATATCCAGTTCCAGACTTTAAAAACAGAGTGTTTCCAAACTGCTCTGTCAAAAGAAAGGTTAAACTCTGTAAGTTGAACGCACACATCACAAATTAGTTTCTGGGAATGATTCTCTCTAGTTTTTATATGAAGATATTTCCTTTTCTCCCTTAGGATTCAAGGCGCTCTAAATATCCACTTGGAAATACTACAAAAAGAGAGTTTCAAATCTGATCTATGAAAAAGGAGGTTCAACTATGTGAGTTGAATGCACACATCAAAAAGATGTTTCGGGGAATTCTTCTGACTAGTTTTTATATGAAGGTATTTCCTTTTCTAATATAGGATTCAAAGCGTTCTAAATATCCACTTTGAAATTCTACAAAAAGAGTGTTTCAAATATGCTCTATCAAAGGAAGGTTCAAATATGTGAGTTGAATGTACACATCAAAAAGAAGTTTCTGAGAATTCTTCAGACTATTTTTATATGAAGAAAATCCGATTCCAAAGAAGGCCTCAATGAGGTCCAAGTATCCTCCTTCAGATTCTTCAAAAAGAGTGTTTCAAAACTGCTCTATCAAGAGGAATGTTCAACTCTGTGAGTTGAATGCAAACAACACAAAGTAGTTTCTGACAATGCTTCTCTGTAGTATTTATGTGAAGATATTTCTTTTCTACCATAGTTCTCAAAGCACTCTAAATTCACACTTGCAAATTCTACAAAAAGTCTGTTTCAAAACTGCTCTATCAAAAGAAAATTTAAACTCAGTGTGTTGAATACACACATCACAAAGTAGTTTCTGAGGATGATTCTGTCTGGTTTTTATATTAAAGTATATCGTTTTCTACCATAGGCCTCTAAGCACCCTAAATATCCACTTGGAAATTCTACAAAAAGAGTGTTTCAAAACTACTCTATTGAAAGGTCGTTCAACTCCGTGAGTTGAATGCACACATCACAAAGAAGCTTCTGAGAATTCTTCTCTCTGTTTTTTTTTAAGAAGAAATACCAGGTTCAAACGAAGGCCTCAAAGAGGTCCAAATAACCACTTGCAGATTCTACAAAAAGAGTGTTACAAAACTGCTCTATCAAAAGGAATGTTCAACTCTGTGAGTTGAATGCAAACATCAAAAAGTGGTTTCTGAGAATGCTTCTGTCTAGTTTTTATGTGAAGATATTTCCTTTTCTACCATAGGCCTCAAAGCGCTCTCAATATCCACTTGCAAATTCTCAAAAAGAGTGTTTCAAAACTGCTCTACCAAAAGTAAAGTTCACCGCTGTGAGTTGAGTACAGACATCACAAAGAAGTTTCTGAGAATACTTCTGTGTACTTCTTATGTGAAGATATACCCATTTCCAAAGAAAACCTCAAAGCGCTCCAATTATCCAGATGCAGACTTTACAGAGTGTTTCAAAACTGCTCTATCAAAAGAAAGTTTAAACTCCGTGATTTGAACGAACACATCACAAAGTAGTTTCTGGGAATGATTCTGTCCACTTTTTATATGAAGATATTTCCTTTTCTACCATGCGATTCAAACCTCTCTAAATATCCACTTAGAAATAATTCAAAAAGTGTTTCGAAACTGCTCTATCAAAAGGAAAGTTTAACTCGGTGAGTTGAATGCACACATCACAAAGAATTTCCTCAGAATTCTTCTGTCTAGTTTTATATGAAGAAATCCCGTTCCAATGAATGCCTCAAAGAGGTCCAAATATCCACTTCCAGATTCTCCAAAAAGGGTGTTTCAAAACTGCTTTATAAAGAGGAGTGTTCAACTCTGTGAGTTGAATGCAAACATCACAAAGCAGTTTCTGAGAATGCTTCTATCTAGTATTTATGAGAAGATATTTCTTTTTCTACCATAGGTCTCAAAGCGCTCTAAACACACATTTGCAAATTCTACAAAAGAGCTCTATCAAAAGAAAGGTTAAACTCTGTAAGGTGAATGCACACATGACAAAATAGTTTCTGAGAATGATTCTGTCTAGTTTTTCTATGAAGAGATTTCCTTTTCTACGATAGGCCTCAAACCGCTCTAAATCTCCACTTGGAAATTCTACATAAAGAGTATTTCAAAACTGCTCTACCGATAGGAAGGTTCAACTCTGTGAGATGAATGCAGACACCACAAAGTAATTTCCGAGAATTCTACTGTCTTGTTTATATGAAGAAATACCTTTTCCAACGAAGGCCTCAAAGAGGTCCAAATATCCACTTGCAGATAGTACAAAAATTGTGTTTAAAAACTGCTGTATCAAGAGGAATGCTCACCTCTGTGAGTTGAATGCAAACAATACAAAGGAGTTTCTGAGAATGCTTCTGTCTAGTTTTTCTGTGAAGATATTTCCTTTTCTACCGTAGGTCTCGCAGCACTCTAAATATACACTTGCAAATTCCACAAAAACAGTGTTTCAAAACTGCTCTATCAAAAGAGAGGCTAAACTATGTAAACTGAATGCACACATCACAAAATAGTTTCTGATAATGGTTCTGTCTAGTTTTTCTATGAAGATATTTCCTTTTCTACAACAGGCCTCAAACCGCTCTAAATATCCACTTGGAAATTCTGCAAAAAGTGTATTTCAAAACTGCTCTATTGAAAGGAAGGTTCAATTCTGGGACTTGAATGCACACATCACATAGAAGTTTCTGAGAATTCTTCTGTCAACTTTTATATGAAGAAATCCCGTTTCCAACATAGGCCTCAAAAAAGTCCAAATATTCACTTGCGGATTCTAAAAAAAGAGTGTTTCAAAACTGCTCTCTCAAAAGAAAGGTTAAACTCTGTAAGCTGAATGCACACATCACAAAGTAGTTTCTGAGAATAATTCTGTCTAGTTTTTCTATGAACATATTTCCTATTCTACCTTACGCCTGAAACCGCTCTAAGTATCCACTTTGAATTTCTACAAAAAGAGAGTGTTAAAACTGCTCTATCGAAAGGAAGTTTCACCTCTGGGAGTTAAAAGCACACTTCAAAAAATTTCTGAGAAATCTTCTGTGAAGTTTTATATGAAGAAATCCCGTTTCCAACGAAGGCCTCAAAGAAGCCCAAATATTCACTTGCAGATTCTACAAAAAGAGTGTTTCAAAAGTGCTCTATCAAAACAAAGGTCAAAATCTGCGAGTTGAACGCACACTTCGCAAAGTAGTTTCTGAGAATCATTCTACCTAGTTTTTCTATGAAGATATTTCCTTTTGTACCATATGCCTCAAATGGCGCTAAATATCCACTTGGAAATTCTACAAAAAGAGTGTTTCAAAACTACTCTATGGAAAGGAAGATTCAACTGTGTGAGTTGAAAGCACACATCACAAAGAAGTTTCTGAGAATTCTTCTGTCTAGTTTTATATGAAGAAATCACGTTTCAAACGAAGGCCACAAAGAGGTCCAAATATCCACTTGCAGATTTTTCATAAAGAGTGTTTCAAAACTGCTCTATCAAAAGAATGGTTAGACTCTGTAATCTGAATGCACACATCACAAAGTAGTTTCTGAGAATCATTCTGTCTAATTTTTCTATGAAGATATTGTCTTTAATACCTTAGGCCTCAAAGGGCACAAAATTTCCACTTGGAAATTCTACAAAAAGAGTATTTCAAAACTGCTCTATCGAAAGGATGGTTCAACACCGTGAGTTGAATGCACACATCACAAAGAAGTTTCTGAGAATTCTTCTGCCACGTTTTATACGAAGAAATCAAGTTTCAAACGAAGGCCACAAAGAAGTCCAAATATCCAGTTGCAGATTCTACAACAAGAGTGTTTCAAAACTGCTCTATCAAGACGAATGTTCAACTCAGTGAGTTGAATGCAAATATCAGAAAGCAGTTTCTGAGAATGATTCTGTCTAGTTTTCTATGAAGATATTTCCCTTTCCACAATAGGCCTCAAACCGTTCTAATTATCCACTTGGAAATTCTACAAAAAGAGTATTTCAAAACTGCTCTATCGAAAGGAATGTTCAACTCTGTGAGTAGAATGCACACATCACAAAGGAGTTTCTGACAATGCTTCTATCTGGTTTTTATGTGAAGATATTTACTTTTCTACCATAGGCCTCAAAGCGCTCTAAATATACACTTGCAAATTCCACAAAAGGAGTGTTTCAAAACTGCTCTATCGAAAGGAAGGTTCAACTCTTTGAGTTGAATGCACACATCACAAAGGAGTTTCTGAGAATTCTTCTCTCACGTTTCATATGAAGAAATCCCATTTCCAACGAAGACCACAAAGAGGTCCAAATATCCAATTTCAGATTCTACAAAAAGAGTGTTACAAACTGCTCTATCAAAAGGAATGTTCAACTCTGTGTGTTGAAGGCAAACATCACAAAGTAGTTTCTGAGAATGCTTCTGTCTAGTTTTTCTGTGAAGATATTTCCTTTTCTACCATAGGCCCCAAAGCGCTCTAAATATCCACTTGCAAACTCTACAAAAAGAGTGTTTCAAAACTTCTCTATCAAAAGGAGGTTTCACTTCTGTGAGTTGAGTACAGACATAACAAAGAAGTTTCTGAGAATACTTCTGTCTACTTTTTATGTGAAGATATTCCCGTTTCCAAAGAAACCCTCAAAGCGCTCCAAATATCCAGATGCAGAGATTACAAACAGGGTGTTTCAAAACTGCTCTATCAAAAGAAAGGTTAAACTCTTTGAGTTGAATGCACACATCACAAAGTAGTTACTGGGAATGATTATTTCTAGTATTTATATGAAGATATTTCCTTTTCTACCATAGGATTCAAAGCGCTCTAAATATCCACGTGGAAATTCAACAAAAAGAGTGTTTCAAATCTGCTCCATCAAAAGGAAGGTTCAAATCTGTGAGTTGAATGCATACATCACAAAGTAGTTTCTGGGAATGATTCTGTCTAGTTTTTATATGAAATATTTCATTTCTACCATAGGATTTAAAGCCCTCTAAATATTCACTTGGAAATTCTACAAAAAAGAGTGTCTGAAATCTGCTCTATCAAAAGGA
>NC_000003.12:90568828-90699772 GCF_000001405.40 Homo sapiens
CATCACAAAGTAGTTTCTGAGAATCATTCTGTCTAATTTTTCTATGAAGATATTGTCTTTAATACCTAGGGCCTCAAAGGGCACAAAATTTCCACTTGGAAAATCTACAAAAAGAGTATTTCAAAACTGCTCTATCGAAAGGATGGTTCAACACCGTGAGTTGAATGCACACATCACAAAGAAGTTTCTGAGAATTCTTCTGCCACGTTTTATACGAAGAAATCAAGTTTCAAACGAAGGCCACAAAGAAGTCCAAATATCCAGTTGCAGATTCTACAACAAGAGTGTTTCAAAACTGCTCTATCAAGACGAATGTTCAACTCAGTGAGTTGAATGCAAATATCAGAAAGCAGTTTCTGAGAATGATTCTGTCTAGTTTTCTATGAAGATATTTCCCTTTCCACAATAGGCCTCAAACCGTTCTAATTATCCACTTGGAAATTCTACAAAAAGAGTATTTCAAAACTGCTCTATCGAAAGGAATGTTCAACTCTGTGAGTAGAATGCACACATCACAAAGGAGTTTCTGACAATGCTTCTATCTGGTTTTTATGTGAAGATATTTACTTTTCTACCATAGGCCTCAAAGCGCTCTAAATATACACTTGCAAATTCCACAAAAGGAGTGTTTCAAAACTGCTCTATCGAAAGGAAGGTTCAACTCTTTGAGTTGAATGCACACATCACAAAGGAGTTTCTGAGAATTCTTCTCTCACGTTTCATATGAAGAAATCCCATTTCCAACGAAGTCCCCCAAAAGTCCAAATATTCACTTGCAGAGACAACAAAAACTGTGTTTCTTAACTGCTCTATCAAAAGAAAAGTTAAACTCTGTTAGTTGAACGCACACATCACAAAGTAGTTTCTGAGAATCATTACGTCTAGGTTTTCTATGAAGATATTGCCTTTTCTACCATAGGCCTCAAAAGACGCTAAATATCCACATGGAGATTCAGCAATAAGAGAATTTCTAACACTGTTCTACCGGAAGGATAGTTCAACTCTGTGAGTTGAATGCAGAGATCACAAAGAAGATTCTGAGAGTTCTGTCAGGTTTTTTATGAAGAAATCCCGTTTCCAAAGAAGGCCTCAAAAAAGTCCAAATATTCACTTGCAGATTGTACAAAAAGATTCTTTCAAAACTGCTCTATCAAGAGGAATGTTCAACTCTGTGAGTTGAATGCAAATATCACAAAGTAGTTTATGACAATGTTTCTCTCTAGTTTTTATGTGAACATATTTCCTTTTCTACCATAGGCCTCAAAGCATTCTAATAATACACTTTCAAATTCCACAAAAAGAGTGTTTCAAAACTGCTCTATCAAAAGAAAGGTGAAACTCTGTAAGCTGAATGCACACATCACAAAGTAGTTTCTGAGAATGATTCTGTCTAGTTCTTCTATGAAGATATTTCCTTTTCTACAACTGGCCTCAAACTGCTCTAAATATCCACTTGGAAATTCTACAAAAAGAGTATTTCAAAACTGCTCTATCCAAAGGAATGTTCAACTCTGTGAGTTCAATGCAAACATCACAAAGAAGATTCTGAGAGTTCTTCTGTCAGGTTTTATATGAAGAAATCCTGTTTCCAACGAAGCCCTAAAAAAATTCCAAATATCCAATTGCAGATTCTACAAAAAGAGTGTTTCCGATCTGATCTATCAAAAGAAAGGTTAAACTCTGTGAGTTGAATGCCCACATCACAAAGTAGTTTCTGAGAATCATTCTGTCTAGTTTTTCTATGAAGATATTGCCTTTTCTAACCATAAGCCTCAAACGGCGCTAAATATCCACTTGGAAATTCTAGAAAAGGAGAGTTTCAAAACTGCTCTATCAAAATGAAACTTCAACTCCGTGAGTTCAAAGCACACATCTCAAAGAAGTTTCTGAGAATTCTTCTGTCTAGTTTTATATGAAGAAATCTCTTTTCAAACGAAGGAAACAAAGAGGTCCAAAAATAAACTTGCAGATTCTACAAAAAGAGTGTTTGCAAACTGCTCTATGAAGAGTAATGTTCAACTCTGTGAATTCAATGCAAATATCACAAAGTAGTTTATGACAATTCTTCTGTCCAGTTTATATGTGAAGATATTTCCTTTTCTACCGTAGGCCTCAAAGCGCTGTAAATATACACTTACAAATTGCACAAAAAGTGTGTTTCAAAACTGCTCTGTCAAAAGAAAGGTTAAACTCTGTAAGCTGAATGCACACATCACAAAGTAGTTTCTGGGAATGATTCTGATTAGTTTTTCTATGAAGATAGATATTTCCTTTTCTACCAAAGGGCTCAAATCCCTGTAAATATATACTTGGAAATTCTACAAAAAGAGGATTTCAAAACTGCTCTATCGAAATGAAGGTTCAACTCTGTGAGTTGAATACACACAACACAAAGAAGTTTCTGAGAATTTTTCTGTCACGTTTTATATGAAGAAATCACGTTTCAAACGAAGACCACAAGGAGTTCCAAATATCCACTTGCGGATTCTGCAAAGAGAGTGTTTCAAAACTGCTCTATCAAGAAGAATGTACAACTCTGTGAGTTGAATGCATATATCACAAAATAGTTTCTGACAAACTTTCTGTCTAGTTTTTATGTGAAGATATTTCCTTTTCTACCATAGGTCTCAAAAAGCTTTAAATATACACTTGCAAATACCACAAAAGACTGTTTCAAAACTGCTCTATCAAAAGAAAGGTTAAACTTTGTAAGCTGAACGAACACTTCACAAAGCAGTTTCTGAGAATCATTCTGTCTACTTTTTCTATGACGATATTGCCTTTTCTACCATTAGCCTGAAACAGCGCTAAATATCCAGTTGGAAATTCTACAAAAAGAGACTTTCAAAACTCCTTCTATTGTAAGGAAGTTTCAATTCTGTGAGTTGAAATCACACATAACAAAGAAGTTTCTGAGAATTCTTCTGTCTAGTTTTATATGGAGAAATCACCTTTCAAAAGAATGCCACAAAGAGGTGTAAGTATCCACTTGCAGATTCCACAAAAAGAGTGTTTAAAAACTGCTCTATCAAGTGGAATGTTCAACTCGGTGAGTTGAATGCAAATATCAAAAAGTAGTTTCTGACAATGCATCTGTATAGTTTTCATGTGAAGATATTTAATTTTGTACCGCAGTTCTCAAAGCGCTTTAAATAAACTCTTGCAAATTCCCCAAAAAGAGTGTTTCACAACTGCTCTATCAAAAGAAAGCTTAAACCCTGTAAGCTGAATGCAAACATCACAATGTGGTTTCTGAGAATCATTCTGTCTAGTTTTTCTATGAAGATATTTCCATATCTACCATAGGCCTCTAACCGCTCTAAGTCTCCACTTGGAAATTCTACAAAAAGAGTATTTCAAAACTGCTCTATCAAAAGATAGGTTGAACTCTGTGAATTGAATGCACACATCGCAAAGAAGTTTCTGAGAATTCTTCTGTCAATTTTAATATGAAGAAATCCCATTTCCAACGTAGTTCTCAATAACGTCCAAATATTCACTTGCAGATTCTACAAAAAGAGTGTTTCAAAACTCCTCTATCAAAAGAAAGGTTAAACTCTGTGAGTTGAACGCTCACATCAAAAAGTAGTTTCTGAGAATCTTTCTGTCTAGTTTTTCTATGAAGATATTCCCTTTTCTACCTTAGGCCTCAAAGGGCGCTAAATATCCACTTGGAAATTCTACAAAAAGAGAGTTTTAAAACTGCTCTATAGAAAGGAAGGTTCAACTCTATGAGTTCAATCCACACATCACAAAGAAGTTTCTGAGAATTCTTCTGTCTAGTTGATATGAAGAAATCTCGTTTAAAACGAAGGCCTCAAACAGGTTCAAATATCCAATTGCAGACTCTACAAAAAGAGGGTTTCAAAACTGCTCTATCAAGAGCAATGTTCAACTCTGTGGGTTGAATGCAAATATCACAATGTAGTTTCTGACAATCCTTCTGTCTAGTTTTTATGTGAAGATATTTCCTTTTCGACAATAGGCCTCAAAGCACTCTAAATATACACTTGCAAATTCCACAAAAGTAGTGTTTCAAAACTGCTCTATCAAAAGAAAGTTCAAACTCTGTGAGTTGAACGCACACATCACAAAATAGTTTCTGAAAATCATTGTGTCTCATTTTTCTATGAAGATATTGCCTTTTCTTCCATAGGCCACAAACCGTGCTAAATATCCACTTGGAAACACTACAAAAAGAGAGTTCAAATTCCACAACAAGAGTGTTACAAATCTGTTCTATCAAAACAAAAGTTAAACTCTGTAAGCTGAATGCACACATCAAAAAGTAGTTTCTGAGAATGGTTCTGTCTAGTTTTCCTATGAAGATATTATCTTTTCTACCACAGGCCTCAAACCGCTCTAAATATCCACGTGGAAATCCTACAAAAATAATATTTCAAAACTGCTCTATTGAAAGGAAGGTTCAACAATGTGAGTTGAATGCACACATCACAAAGAAGATGCTGAGATTTCTTTTGTCAAGATTTATATGAAGAAAACATGTTTCCAACGAAGGCCTCAAGAAAGTCCAAATATTCACTTGCAGAACCTACAGAAAGAGTGTTTCAAAACTGCTCTATCAAACGAAATGTTAAACTCTGTGAGTTGAACGCACACGTCACAAAGTAGTTTCTCAGAATCATTCTCTCTATTTTTTCTATGAAGATATTTCCTTTTCTACCACAGGCCTCAAGCCACTCTAAATATACACTTGAAAATTCTACAAAAAGACTATTTCAAAAGGGGTCTATCAAAAGAAAGGTTAAACCCTGTGGGTTAAACGCACACATCACAAAGTAATTTCTGAGAATCTTTCTGCCTATTTTTTCTTTGAAAATATTGCCTTTTCTACCATAGGACTGAAACAGGGCTAAATATCCACTTGGAAAATCTACAAAATAGTGTTTCAAAACTCCTCTATCTAAAGGAAGGTGCAACTCAGTGATTTGAAAGCACACATCACAAAGAAGTTTCTGAGAATTCTTCTGTCTAGTTTTATATGAAGAAATCACGTTTCAAAAGAAGGCTCCAAAGAGGACTAAATATCCCCTTGCAGATTCTACAAAAAGAGTGTCTCAAAACTCCTCTAACAAGTGGAATGTTCATCTCTGTGAGTTGAATGCAAATATCGCAAAGTAGTTTCTGACAACGTTTCTGTCTAGTTTTTATGTGAAGATATTTCCTTTTATACAATAGGCCTAGAAGCGCTCTAAATAAACGCTTGCATTTTCCACAGAAAAAGGGTTTCAAAACTGCTCTATCAAAAGAAGTTCCGATTCTGTAAGCTGAATGCACACATCACAAAGAAGTTTCTGAGAATTCTTCTGTCAGGTTTTATATGAAAAAATCCCGTTTCCAACGAAGGCCTCAGTAAAGTCCAAATATTCACCTGCAGATTATACAAAAAGAGTGTTTCAAGACTGCTTTATCAAAAGAAATGTTAAACTCTGTGAGTTGAACGCACACATCACAAAGTTGTTTCTGAGAATCATTCTGTCTAATTTTTCTCTGAAGATATTGCCTTTCGTACCGTAGGCCTCAAACGGCTCTAAATATCCACTTGGAAATTCTACAAAAAGAGAGTTTCAAAACTGCTCTATCGAAAGGTAGATACAACTCTGTGACTTGAATGCACACATCACAAACTAGTTTCTGAGAATTCTTCTGTCCAGATTCATATGAAGAAATCACGTTCAAAACGAAGGCCCCAAAGAGGTCCAAATATCCACTTGCAGACTCCACAAAAAGAGTGTTTCAAAACTGCTCTATCAAGAGGAATGTTCAACTCGGTGAGTTGTTGAATGCAAATATCACAAAGTAGTTTCTGACTATGCTTCCGTTTTGATTTCATGTGAAGATATTGCTTTTTCTGCCGTATGCCTCAAAGAGATCTTAATATACTCTTGCAAATTCCACAAAAAGAGTGTTTCAAAACTGCTCTATCAAAAGAAAGTTAAACTCTATAAACTGAATGCACATAGCACAAACTAGTTGCTGAGAATTATTCTGTCTAGGTTTTCTATGAAAGTATTTCCTTTTCTACCGCAGACGTCAAACCGCCCTAAATATACACTTGGAAATTATACAAAAAGAATATTTCAAAACTGCTCTATCGAAAGGAAGGTTCAACTCTGTGAGTGGAATGCACACATCACAAAGAAGTTTCTGAGAGTTCTTCTGTCAGGTTTTATATGATGAAATCCCGTTTCCAACGAAGACATCCAAAAATCCAAATATTCACCTGCAGATTCTACAAAAAGAGTGTTTCAAAACTGCTCTATCAAAAGAAAGTTTAAACTCAGTGAGTTGAATGCACACATCACAAAGTAGTTTCTGAGAATCATTCTGTCTAGTTTTTCTGTGAAGATATTTCCTTTTCTACCATAGGCCTCAAACCCTCTAAATATCCAATTGGAAATTCTCCAAAAAGAGTTTATGAAAACGGCTCTATCGAAAGGTAGCTTCAGCTCTGTGAGTTGAATGCGCACATCAGAATATAGTTTCTGGAAATCATTCTGTCTAGTTTTTCTATGAATATAATTCCTTTTCAACCACAGGCCTCAAACGGCGTTAAATATCCACTTGGAAATTCTACAAAAAGAGAGTTTCAAAACTGCTCTATAGAAAAGAAGGTTCAACTCTATGAGTTGAAAGCACACATTGCAAAGAAGTTTCTGATAATTCTTCTGTCTAGTTTTATATGAAGAAATCACGTTTCAAACGAAGGCCACAAACAGGTCCAAATATCCACTTGCAGAAACTTCAAAAACAGTGTTTCAAAACTGCTCTAACAAGAGGAATGTTCAACTCTGTAAGTTGAATGCAAATATCACAAAGTCGTTTCTGACAATGCTTCTGTCTAGGTTTTATGTGAAGATATTTCCTTTTCTACCGTAGGCCTCAAAGCGCTCTAAATATACCCTTGCAAATTCCACAAGAAGAGTGTTTCAAAACTGCTCTGTCGAAAGAAAGGTTAAACTCTGTAAGCTGAATGTACATATCACAAAGTAGTTTCTGAGAATGATTCTGTCTAGGTTTTCTTTGAAGATATTTCCTTTTCTGCCACAGGCGTCAAATCGCTCTAAATATCCTCTTGGAAATTCTACAAAAATAGTATTTCAAAACTGTTCTATTGAAAGGAAGCTTCAACTTTGTGAGTTGAATGCACACATCACAAAGAAGTTCCTGAGAATTCTTCTGTCAAGTTTTATATGAAGAAATCCCGTTTCCAGCGAGGACCTCACAAAAGTCCAAATATACATTGCAGATTCTACAAAAGATTGTTTCAAAACTACTCAATCAAAAGAAAGGTTAAACTCTGTGAGTTGAACACACACATCACAAAGTAGTTTCTGAGAATCATTCTGTCTAGTTTTTGTATGAACATACTGCCTTTTCTACCATAGGCGTCAAACGGCGCTAAATATCCACTTGGAAATTCTACAAAAAGAGAGTTTCAAAACTGCTCTTTCGAAAGGTAGGTTCAACTCTGTGAGTTGAAAGCACACATCACAAAGAAGTTTCTGAGAATTCTTTTATCTAGTTTTATATGAAGAAATCACGTTTCAAATGAAGGCCACAAAGAGGTCCAAATATCCAATTGCAGATTCTACAAAAAGAGTGTTTCAAAACTGTTCTATCAAGAGGAATTGTCAATTCTGTGAGATGAATACAAATATCACAAATTAGTTTCTGACAATGCTTCTGTCAAGTTTTTATGGGAAGATATTTCCTTTTCTACCGTAGACCTCAAAGCACTCTAAATATACAGTTGCAAATTACACACAAAGAGTATTTCAGAGCTGCTCTATCAAAAGATAGGTGAAACTCTGAAAGATGAATGCACACATCACAAAGTAGTTTCTGACAATGATTCTGTCTAGGTTTTTTATGCAGATATTTCCTTTTCTACCACAGGCCACAGACCGCACAAAATATTCACTTGGAAATTCTACAAAAAGAGTAATTCAAAACTGCTCTATTGAAAGGAAGGTTCAACTCTGTGACTTGAATGCACACATCTCAAAGTAGTTCCCGAGAATTCTTCTGTCAAATTTTATATGAAGAAATCCCGTTTCCAACGATGGCCTCAAAACAGTCCAAGTATTCACTGGCAAATTCTACAAAAAGAGTGTTTCAAAATTGCTCTATCAAAAGAAAGGTTAAACCCTGTGTGTTGAATGCACACATCACAAAGAAGCTTCTGAGAATTCTTCTGTCTAGTTTTATATGAAGAAATCATGTTTCAAACGAAGGCCACTAAGAGGTCCAAACATCCACTTGCAGATTCTTCAAAAAGAGTGTTTCAAAATTGCTCTATCAAGAGAAATGTTCAACTCTGTGAGTTGAATGCAAATATCACAATGTAATTTCTGACAATAATTCTATCTAGTTGTTATGTGAAGATATTTCCTTTTCTACTGCATGCCTCACAGCGCTCAAAATATGCACTAGGAAATTCCACAAAAAGAGGGTTTCAAAGCTGCTCTCTCAAAAGAAAGGTAAAACTCTTTAAGCTGAATGCACACATCACAAAGGAGTTTCTGAGTACGATTCTGTGTAGTTTTTCTATGAAGATATTTCCTTTTATAACAAAGGTCTCAAACCGCTCTAAATATTCGTTTGGAAATTCTACAAAAAGAGTATGTCAAAACTGCTTTATCGAAAGAAGATTCAACCCTGTGAGTTGAATGCACACATCACAAAGTAATTTCTGAGAATTCTTCTGTCACGTTTTATATGAAGAAAAGCCGATTCCAACGAAGGCCCCCCAAAAGTCAAATTTTTCATTGCAGATTCTACAAAAAGAGAGATTCAAAACTTCTATATCAAAAGAAAAGTTAAACTTTGTGTCTTGAACACACACATTGGAAGGTACTTTCTGAGAATCATTCTGTCAACTTTTTCTATGAAGATATTGCCTTTTCTACCATAGGCCTCAAACAGCGCTAAACATTCACTTGGAATTACTACAAAAAGAGAGTTTCAAAACTGCTCTATCAAAAGGAAGGTTCAACTATGTGAGTTGAAAGCACACATCACAAAGAAGATTCTGAGAAATCTTCTGTCTAGTTTTATATGAAGAAAACACGTTTCAAACTAAGGCCACAAATAGGTGCAAATATCCACTCGCAGATTCTATAAAAAGAGTGTTTCAAAACCGCTCAATCAAGAGGAATGTTCAACTCTGTGAGTTGAATGCAAATATCACTTCGTAGTCTCTGACAATGATTTTGTCTGGTTTTTATGTGAAGATAATTGCCTTTGTACTGCAGGCCTCAAAGCACTCTAAATATACACTTGGAAATTCCACAAAAAGAGTGTTTCAAAACTGCTCTATCAAAAAAAAGGTTAAACTCTGTAAGCTGAATGCACCCATCACAAAGTAGTTTCTGAGAATGATTCTGTCTAGTTTTTCTATGAAGATATTTCCTTTTCTACAACTGGTCTCAAACCGCTCTAAATATCCTCTTGGAAATTCTATAAAAAGAGCATTTCAAAACTGCTCTATCGAAAGGAAGGTTCAACTCTGTGAGTTCAATGGAGATATCACTAGGAAGTTTCTGAGAGTTCTTCTGTCGGTTTTATATGAAGAAATCCCCTTTCAAAAGCGGACCTCAAAAAAGTCCAAATATTCACTTGCAGATTCTGCAAAAAGTGTTTTTCAAATCTGATCTATCAACAAATAAGGTTAAACTCTGTGAGTTGAACGCACACATCTCAAAGTAGTTTCTGAGAATCATTCTGTCTACTTTTTCTATGAAGATATTGCTTTTTCTAACATAGGCCTCAAAGCCCTCTAATTATCCACTTGAAAATCTACAAAAGAGTATTTCAAAACTGCTCTAACGAAAGAAAGGTTCAACTATGTGAGTTGAATGCACAAATCCCAGAGAAGTTTCTGAGAATTGTTCTGTCAAGATTTAGATGAAGAAATCCCGTTTCCAACGAAGGCCTCAAAAAAGACAAAACATTCATTTGCAGATTCTACAAAAAGAGTATTTCAAAACTGCTCTATCAAAAGACAGGTTAAACTCTGTGCCTTGAACGAACACATCACAAAGTAGTTTCTGAGAATCATTCTGTCTATTTTTTCTATGAAGATATTGCCTTTTGTCCCATAGGCCTCAAACGGCAATAATTAAACACTTGGAAATTGTACAAAAAGAGATTTTCAAAACTGCTCTATTGAAAGGAAGTTTCAACTCTGTGAGACGAAAGCACACATCAAAAAGAAGTTTTGGAGAATTCTTCTGTCTGGTTTTATAAGAAGAAATCATGTTTCAAACGAAGTAAACAAACAGATCCAAATACCACTTACAGATTCTACAAAAAGAGTGTTTCAAAACGGCTCTATCAAGACAGAAGTTCAACGCTGTGAGTTGAATACAATTTTCACAATGTAGTTTCTTACAATATTTATCTCTAGTTTTGATGTGAAGATATTTCCTTTTCTAGCGTAGGCCTCAAAGCGCTCTAAATATACACATGCAAATTCCACAAAAGGAATGTTTAAAAACTGCTCTATCAAAAGAAAGGTTAAATTCTGTAAGCTGAATGCACACAACACAAAGTAGTTTCTGAGAATGATTCTGTGTAGTTTTTCTATGAAGATATTTCCTTTTCTACCACAGGCCTCAAACCGCTCTAAATATCCAATTGGAAATTCTACAAAAAGAGTATTTCAAAACTGCTCTATCGAAAGGAAGGTTCAACACCGTGAGTTGAAAGCACACATCACAAAGAAGTTTCTGAGAAATTTTCTGTCTAGTTTTATATGAAGAAATCAAGTTTCAAACGAAGGCCACTAAGAGGTCCAAATATCCACTTCCAGATTCTACAAAAAGAGTGTTTCAAAACTCCTCTATCACAAGGAATGTTTGACTCTGTGAGTTGAATGCAAATATCACAAAGTAGTTTCTCACAATGCTTCTGTCTAGTTTTTAGGTGAAGATATTTCCTTTTCCACCACAGGCCTCAAACCGCTCTAAATATCCACTTGGAAATTATGCAAAAAAAAAAAAAGAGTATTTCAAAACTGCTCTATCGAAAGGAAGTTTCAACTCTGAGAGTTCAATGCACACATCACAAAGAAGTTTCTGAGAATTCTTTTGTCAAGTTTTATATGAAGCAATCCCGTTTCCAATGGAAGCTTCAAAAAAGCCGAAACATTCACTTGCAGATTCTACAAAAAGAGTGTTTCAAAATTGCTCTATCAAAAGAAAGTTTGAACTCTGTGTGCTGAACGCACACATCACAAAGTAGTTTCTGAGAATCATTTTGTCAAGTTTTTCTATGAACATACTGCCTTTTCTACTATATGCCTCAAGTGGCGATAAACATCCACTTGAAAATACTACAAAAAGAGATTTTCACAACTGCTCTATTGAAAGGAAGGTTCAAATCTGCAAGTGGAATGCACACATCAAAAAGTAGTTTCTGAGAACTCTTCTGTCAAATTTTATATGAAGAAATCCCGTTTCCAAGGAAGGCCTCAAAAAAGTCCAAATATTCACTTACAGATTCTACAAAAAGATGCTTCAAAACTGCTCTATCAAGAGGAATGTTCAACAGTTTGAGTTGAATGCAAATATCACAAAGTAGTTTCTGACATTGCTTCTATTTTTTTTGTGAAGATATTCCCTTTTGTACCGTAGGCCTCAAAGCGCACTGAATATAGAGTTGCAAATTCCACAAAAAGAGTGTTTCAAAACTGCTTTATCAAAAGAAAGGTTAAACTCTGTAAGCTGAATGCGCACATCACAAAGTAGTTTCTGACTATTATTCTGTCTGGGTTTTCTATGAAGATATTTACTTTTCTACCACAGGCCTCAAACCGCTCTAAATTTCCACTTGGAAATTCTTCAGAAAGAGCCTTTCAAAACTGCTCTATCGAAAGCAATGTTCAACTCTGTGAGTTGAATGCACACATCACAAAGAAGTTCCTGAGAATTCTTCTATCAAGTTTTATTAGAAGAAATCTCGTTTCCTAAGAAGGCCCCAAAAAATCCGATTATTCACTTTCAGATTCTACAAAAAGAGTGTTTCAAAACTGCTCTATGAAACGAAAGGTTAAACTCGGTGAGTTGAATGCACACATCAAAAAGTAGTTTCTGAGAGTCATTCTGTCTAGTTTTTCTATGAAGATATTGCCTTTTCTTCCATAGGCCTCAAACAGCACTAAATATCCTCTTGGAAATACTACAAACAGAGAGTTTCAAAACTGCTCTTTTGAAAGGAAGGTTCAAATCTGTGAGTTGAAAGCACACATCACAAAGAAGGTTCTGAGAATTCTTCTGTCTAGTTTGATATGAAGCAATCACATTTGAAACGAAGGCCACAAAGAGGTCCAAATATCCCCTCACAAATACTACAAAAACAGTGTTTCAAGACTGCTCTATCAAGAGGAACGTTCAACTCTGTGAGTTGAATGCAAATATCACGTTGTAGTTTCTGACAATGCTTCTGTCTAATTTTTATGTGAAGATAAATCCTTTTCTACAGTTGGCCTCAAAGCTCTCTAAATATAAACTTTCAAATTCCACAAAAAGAGTGTTTCAAAACTGTTCTATCAAAAGGAATTTTAAACTCTGTAAGCGGAATGCACAAATCACAAAGCACTTTCTGACAGTGATTCTGTCTAGTTTATCTATGAAGATATTCCCTTTTCTACCACAGGCCTCAAACCGCTATAAATATCCACTTGGAAATTCTACAAACAGTATCTCAACACTGTTATATCGAAAGGAAGGTTCAACTCTGTGAGTTGAATGCACATATCAAAAAGAAGTTTCTGAGAATTCTTCTGTAACCTTTTATATGAAGAAATCCCATTTCCAACGAAGGCCTCCCAGAATTCCAAATATTCACTTCCAGATTCTACAAAAGGCTGTTTCAAAACTGCTCTATCAAAAGAAAGGTTAAACTCTTGGAGTTGAATGCACACACCACAAAGTAGTTTCTGAGAATCATTCTGTCTAGTTTTTCAATGAAGATATTGCCTTTTCTACCATAGGCCTCAATAGGCAATAAACATCCACTTGGAAATTCTACATAATGGGAGTTTCAAAACTGCTCTATTGAAAGGAAGGTTCAACTCTGTGAGTTGAAAGCACACTTCACAAGAAGTTTCTGAGAATTCTTCTGTCTAGTTATATTTGAGGAAATCACGTTTCAAACGAAGGACACAAAGAGGTCCAAATATCCACATGCAGATTCTACAAAAAGAGAGTTTCAAAACTGTTCTATCAAGAGGAATGTTCAACTCTGTGCGTTGAATGCAAATATCACAAATAAGTTTCTGACAATACTTCCGTCTAGTTTTTATGTGAAGATATTTCCTTTCCTACTGTAGGCCTCAAAACGCTCTAAAGAGACACTTGCAAATTCCACAAAAAGAGGGGTTCAATACTGCTCTATCAAAAGAAAGGTTAAACTCTTTAAGCTGAATGCACACATCAATAAGTAGTTTCTGATAATGATTCTGTCTAGTTTATCAGTGAGGGTATTCCTTTTTCTACCACAGGCCTCATTCCACTCTAAATATCCACCTGGAAATTCAACAAAAAGAGTATTTCAAAACTGCTCTATCGAAAGGAAGGTTCAACTCTGTATGTGGAATGCACACATCACAAAGAAGTTTCTGAGAATTCTTCTGTCAAGTTTTATATAAAGAAAACCCGTTTCCAATGAAGGCCTCAAAAAATCCAAATATTCACTCGCAGATTCTACAAAAAGAGTTTCTCAAACCTGCTCTATCAAAAGAAAGTTTAAACAAGGTGGCTTGAACGCACACACCACAAAGTAGTTTCTGAGAATCATTTTGTCTAGTTTTTCTATGAAGATATTGCCTTTTCTACCATAGTACTCAAACGGCGCTAAATATCCACTTGGAAATTCTACAAAAAGAGAGTTTCAAAACTGCTCTATCGAAAGGAAGGTTCAACTCTGTGAGTTGAAAGCACACATCACAAAGAAGTTTCTGACAATTATTCTGTCTTGTTTTGTATTAGGAATCACTTTTCAAACGAAGGCCACAAATTGGTCCAAATATCCACTTGGAAATTCTACAAAAAGAATATTTCAACACTCTTCTATCAAAAGGAAGGTTGAACTCTGAGAGTTAAATGCACGCATCACAAAGAAGTTTCTGAGAATTCTTCTGTCAAGGTTTATATGAAGAAATCCCGTTTCCAATGAAGGCCTCAAAAAAGTCCAAATATTTACTTGCAGATTCTACAAAAAGAGTGTTTCATAACTGGTCTATCAAAAGAAAGGTTAAACTCAGTGAGTTGAACCCACACATCACAAAGTAGTTTCTGAGAATCATTCTGTCTAGTTTTCCTACGAAGATATTGCCTTTTCTACCATAGGCCTCAAACGGCGCTAAATATCCACCTGGAAATTCTACAAAAACTGAGTTTCAAAAGTGCTCTATTGAAAGGAAGCTTCAACTCTGTGCGTTGAAGGTACACACCACAAAGAAGTTTCTGAGAATTCTTCTGTCTACTTGTAAATGAAGAAATCACGTTTCAAACGAAGGCCACAAAGAGGTCCAAACATCCACTTGCAGATTCTACAAAAAGAGTGTTTCAAAACTGCTCCATCAAGAGGAATGTTCAACTCTGTGCGTTGAATGCAAATATCACAAATAAGTTTCTGACAATACTTCTGTCTAGTTTTTATGTGAAGATATTTCCTTTTCTACCCTTGGCCTCAAATCGCTCTAAATATACACTTTCAAATTCTGCAAAAAGAGTGTTTCAAAACTTCTCTATCAAAAGAAAGGTTAAACTCTGTAAGCTGAATACACACATCACAAAGTAGTTTCTGAGAATGACTCTGCCTAGGTTTTCTATGAAGATATTTCCTTTTCTACCATAGGTCTCACACCGCTCTAAATATTCAGTTGGAAATACTACAAAAAGAGTATTTCAAAACTCCTCTATCGAAAGGGAGGTTCAACTCTGTGAGTTGAATCAACACATCATAAAGTAGGTTCTGAGAATTCTTCAGTCAACTTTTATGTTACGAAATCCCGTCTCCTACGAAGTCCTCCAAAAAGGCCAAATATTCACTTGCATATACTACAAACAGAGTTCTTAAAAACTACCCTATCAAAAGAACGGTTTAACTGTGTGTGTTGAACGCACACATTCCAAAGTAGTTTCTGACAAACATTCTGTCTAGTTTTTCTATGAAGATATTGCCTTTTCTACCATAGTCCTGAAATGGCACTAAATATCCAATTGGAAATTCTACAAAAAGAGTATTTCGAAACTGCTCTATTGAAAGGAAGGTTCAACTCTGTGACTTGAATGCACACATCACAAAAAAGTTTCTGAGAATTCTTCTGTCTACTTTTATATGAAGAGTTAACGTTTCAAAAGAAGGCCAGGAAGAGGATCAAATGTCCTCTTGCAGATTCTACAAAAAGAGTGTTTCAAAACTGCTCTATCAAGAGGAAAGTTCAACTCTGTGAGTTGAATGCAAATATCCAAAATAGTTTCTGACAAAGCTTCTTTCTAGCTTTTATGTGAAAATATATCATTTTCTATTGTAGGCCACAAAGCTCTCTAAATATAGACTTGCAAATTACACAAAAAGAGTGTTTCAAACTCCTCTATAAAAACACAGGTTAAACTCGGTAATCTGAATGCACACATCACAAAGTAGTTTCTGAGAATTACTCTGTCTAGTTTTTCACTGAAGGTATTTACTGTTCTACCATAGGCCTCAAACCATACTTAATATCCGCTTGGAAATTCTACAAAAAGAGTATTTCAAAACTGCTCTATCGAAAGGAAGATTCAAATCTGTAAGATAAATGCACACATCACAAAGAAGTTTCTGGGAATTCTTCTGTCAAGTTTTATATGAAGAAATCCCCTTTCCTACGAAGGCCTCAAAAAAGTCCAAATATTCACTTGCAGATTCTACAAAAAGAGCTTTTCAAAACTGCTCTATCAAAAGAAAGGTGAAACTCTGTGAATTGAATGCACACATCACAAAGTAGTTTCTAAGAATCATTCTGTCCAGTTTTTCTATGAAGATATCGCCTTTTCAACCATAGGCCTCAAACAGCGCTAAATATCCATTTGGAAATCTTACAAAAAGAGAGTTTCAAAACTGCTCCATCAAAAGGAAGGTTCAACACTGTGAGTTGAAAGCACACAACAGAAATAACTTTGTGATATTTCTTCTGTCTAATTTTATATGAAGAAACCACGTTTCAAACGAAGGCCACAAATAGTTCCAATTATCCACTTGCAGATTCTACAAAAAGAGTGTTTCTAAACTGCTCTATAAAGAGAAATTTTCAACTCTGTGAGTTGATTGCAAATATCGCAAACTAGTTTCTGACAATGCTTCTGTCGAGTTTTTTTGTGAAGATATTTCCTTTTCTACCGTAGGCCTCAAAGCACTCTAAATATACACTTACAAATTCCACAAAAAGAGTGTTTCAAAACTGCTCTATCAAAAGAAATGTTAAATTCTGTAAGCTGAAAGCACACAACACAAACTAGTTTCTCAGGATGATTCTGTCTAGTGTTTCTAAGAAGATATTTCCTTTTATACCACTGGCCTGAAAACCGCCAAAACTATACACTAGGAAATCCTGCAAAAAGAGTATTTCAACACTGCTCTATTGAAAGGAATGTTCAACACTGTGAATTGAATGCACACATCACACAGAAGTTTCTGGGAATTCCTCTGTCAAATTTTATATGAAGAAATCCCGTTTCCAACGAAGGCCTCAAAAAACGCAAACATTCACTTGCAGATTCTAAAAAAAGAGTCTTTCAAAACTGCTCTATCAAGAGGAATGTTCAACACTGTGAGTTGAATGCAAATATCACAAAGTGGTTTCTGACAATGCTTCTGTCTAGTTTTTGTGTGAACATATTTACTTTTCTACTGTAGGCCTCAAAGTGCTCTAAATATTCATTTGCAAATTCCACAAAAAGTGTGTTTCAAAACTGCTCTATAAAAAGAAATGTTACACTCTATAAACTGAATGCACACATCACAAAGGAATTTCTGACAATGCTTCTGTCTAGTTTTTAAGTGAAGATATTTCCTTTTCTACCGTAGCCCTCAAAGTGCTCCAACTTTAAACTTGGAAATTCCACAAAAAGAGTGCTTCAAAACTACTCTATCAAAAAGGTTAAGCACTGTACGCTGAATACACACTTCACAAAGTGTTTTCTGAAAATGATTCTTCCTTGTTTTTTCTGAAGACATTTCCTTTTCCACCAGAGGCCTCAAACCGTACTAAATATCCACTTGAAAATTATACAAAAAGAGTATTTCAAAACTGCTCTATCAAAAAAAGGAAGGTCCAACTCTGTGAGTTGAACGCACACCTCCTAAATAAGTTTCTGACAATTCTTCTGTCAGGTTTTATATGAAGAAATCCCCTTTCCAACGAAGGCCTCAAAAAAGACCAAATATTCACTTGCAGATTCTACAACAAGAGTATTTCAAGACTCCTCTATCAAGAGGAATGTTCAACTCTGTGAGTTGAATGCAAATATCACAAAGTAATTTCAGACAATGCTTCTGTCTAGTTTTTAAGTGAAGATATTTCCTTTTCTACCATAGGCCTCAAATCGCTCTAAATACACACTTGCAAATTCCACGAAAAGAGCGTTTCAAAACTGCTCTATCAAAATAAAGGTTAAACACTGTAAGCATAATGCACACATCACAAAGTAGTTTCTGATAACGATTCTATGTTGTTTTTCTATGAAGATAGTTCCTTTTCTACCATAGGCCTCAAACCGCACTAAATATCCACTTTGAAATTCTACAAAAAGAGTCTTTCAAAACTGCCCTATCGAAAGGAGGGTTCAACACTGTGAGTTGAATGCACACCTCCTAAATACGTTTCTGAGAATTCTTCTGTCAAGTTTTATATGAGGAAATCCCATTTCCAAAGAAGGCCTCAAAAAAGTCCAAATATTCAGTTGCAGATATTACAAAAAAAGTGTTTCAAAACTTCTCTATAAAAGAAAGGTTAAAGTCTGTGAGTTGAATGCACACATCACAAACTAGTTTCTGAGAATCATTCCGTCAATTTTTTCCATGAAGATATTGCCTCTTCTACCATAGGCCTCAAACGGCCCTATATATCCATTTGGAAATTCTACAAAAAGAGAGTTTCTAAACTGCTCTATGGAAAGGAAGGTTCAACTCTGTGAGTTGAAAACACACAACACAAAGAAGTTTCTAAGAGTTCTTCTGTCTAGTTTTATATGAAGAAAGCACGTTTCAAACGAAGGCCACAAAGAGGTCCAAATAATCAATTGCAGATTCTACAAAAAGAGTATTTCAAAACTGCTCTATCAAGAGGAATGTTCAACACTGTGAGTTGAATGCAAATATCACAAAGTGGTTTCTGACAATGTTTCTGTCTAGTTTTTGTGTGAACATATTTACTTTTCTACTGTAGGCCTCAAAGTGCTCTAAATATTCATTTGCAAATTCCACAAAAAGTGTGTTTCAAAACTGCTCTATAAAAAGAAATGTTACACTCTATAAACTGAATGCACACATCACAAAGGAATTTCTGACAATGCTTCTGTCTAGTTTTTAAGTGAAGATATTTCCTTTCCTACCGTAGTCCTCAAAGTGCTCCAACTTTAAACTTGGAAATCCCACAAAAAGAGTGCTTCAAAACTGCTCTATCAAAACAAAGGTTAAGCACTGTAAGCTGAATACACGCTTCACAAAGTGTTTTCTGAAAATGATTCTTCCTTGTTTTTTTCTGAAGACATTTCCTTTTCCACCAGAGGCCTCAAACCGCACTGAATATCCACTTGAAAATTATACAAAAAGAGTATTTCAAAACTGCTCTATCAAAAGGAAGGTCCAACTCTGTGAGTTGAATGCACACCTCCTAAATAAGTTTCTGACAATTCTTCTGTCAAGTTTTATATGAAGAAATCCCCTTTCCAACGAAGGCATCAAAAAAAGTCCAAATATTCACTTGCAGATTCTACAACAAGAGTATTTCAAGACTCCTCTATCAAGAGGAATGTTCAACTCTGTGAGTTGAATGCAAATATCACAAAATAGTTTCTGACAATGCTTCTGTCTAGTTTTTAAGTGAAGATATTTCCTTTCCTATTGTAGGCCTCAAATCGCTCTAAATACACACTTGCAAATTCCACGAAAAGAGTGTTTCAAAACTGCTCTATCAAAAAAAAGGTTAAACACTGTAAGCATAATGCACACATCACAAAGTAGTTTCTGATAACAATTCTATCTATCTTGTTTTTCTATGAAGATAGTTCCTTTTCTACCATAGGCCTCAAACCGCACTAAATATCCACTTTGAAATTCTACAAAAAGAGTCTTTCAAAACTGCCCTATCGAAAGGAGGGTTCAACTCTGTGAGTTGAATGCACACCTCCTAAATAAGTTTCTGATAATTCTTCTGTCAAGTTTTATATGAAGAAATCCCGTTTCCAAAGAAGGCCTCAAAAAAGTCCAAATATTCAGTTGCAGATATTACAAAAAAAGTGTTTCAAAACTTCTCTATAAAAGAAAGGTTAAAGTCTGTGAGTTGAATGCACACATCACAAACTAGTTTCTGAGAATCATTCCGTCAATTTTTTCCATGAAGATATTGCCTCTTCTACCATAGGCCTCAAACGGCCCTATATATCCATTTGGAAATTCTACAAAAAGAGAGTTTCTAAACTGCTCTATGGAAAGGAAGGTTCAACTCTGTGAGTTGAAAACACACAACACAAAGAAGTTTCTAAGAGTTCTTCTGTCTAGTTTTATATGAAGAAAGCACGTTTCAAACGAAGGCCACAAAGAGGTCCAAATAATCAATTGCAGATTCTACAAAAAGAGTATTTCAAAACGGCTCTATCAAGAGGACTGTTCAACACTGTGAGGTGAATGCAAATATCACAAAGTCGTTTCTGACAATGCTTCTGTCTAGGTTTTATGTGAGGATATTTCCTTTTCTACCGTAGGCCTCAAAGCGATCTAAATATACACTTGGAGATTCCACAGAAAGAGTGTTTCAAAACTGCTCTATCAAAAGAAAGATTAAACTCTGTAAGCTGAATGTACACATCACAAAGTAGTTTCTGAGAATGATTTCGTCTAGTTTTTCTATGAAGATATTTCTTTGTCTACCATAGGCCTCAAAAGGTGCTAAATATCCATTTGGAAATTCTACAAAAAGATTATTCCAAAACTGCACTATCGAAAGGAAGGTTCAAACCTGTGAGGTGAATGCACACATCAGAAATACGATTCTGAGAATTCTTCTGTTCAATTTTATATGTAGAAAACCCGTTTCCAACGAAGGATTCAAAAAAGTCCAAATATTCACTTGCGATCCCACAAAAAGAGTGCTTCAAAACTGCTCTATCAACAGAAAGGTTAAACCCTTTGAGATGAACGCACACATCACAAAGTAGTTTCTGAGAATGATTCTGTCTAGTTTTTTTTGAAGATACTGCCTTTTCTACGATAGGCCTCAAACGGCGCTAAATACCCACTTGGAAGTCCTACAAAAAGAGAGTTTCAAAACTGCTATATCGAAAGCAAGGTTCAACTCTGTGAGTTGAAAGCACACATCACAAAGAAGTTTCTGAGAATTTTTCTGTCTTGTTTATATGAAGAAATCACGTTTCAATCGAACGCCACAAAGAGGACCAAATATTCAATTGCAGATTCTACACAAAGAGTGTTTCAAACTGCGCTTTCAAAAGGAATGTTCAACTCTGTGACTTGAATGCCAATATCACAAAGTAGTTTCTGAAAATGCTTTTGTCTATTTTTTATGTGAAGATATTTCCTTTTCCACCATAGGCCTCAACGCGCTCTAAATATACACTTGGAAATTCCACAAAAATAGTGTTTCAAAACTGCTCTATCAAAAGAAAGGTTAAACTCTGTAAGCTGAATGCACACATCACAAAGTAGTTTCTGATAACCATCATATCTTGTTTTTCTCTGAAGACATTTCCTTTTCTACCATAGGCCTCAAACAGCACAAAATATCCACTTTAAATGCTACAAAAAGTGTATTTCAAAACTGCTGTATCGAAAGGAAGGTTCAACTCTGTGAGTTGCATGCACAGCTCCCAAAGAAGTTTCTATCAATTCCTCTGTCAAGTTTTATATGAAGAGATCCTGTTTCCAACGAAGGCCTCAAAAAAGTCCAAATATCCACTTGCAGATTCTGCAAAAAGAGTATTTCAAAACTGCTCTATTAAGAGGAATGATTAACTCTGTGAGTTGAATGCAAACATCACAAAGTAGTTTGTAACAATGCTTCTGTCTAGTTTTTATGTGAAGATATTTACTTTTCTACTGTAGGCCTTAAAGTGCTCTATATATACACTTTCAAATTCCTCAAAAAGAGTGTTTCAAAACTGCTCTATCAAAAGAAAGGTTAAACTCCGTAAGCTGAATGCACCCATCACAAAGAAGTTTCTTATAATGATTCTATCTGGTTTTTCTGTGAAGATATTTCCTTTTCTATCATAGGCCTCAAACCTCATTAAATATCCACTTGGAAATTCTACAAAAAGAGTATTTCAAAACTACTCTATCGAAAGGAAGGTTCAACTGTGTGAGTTGAATGCACACCTCCCAAAGAAGTTTCTGAGAATTATTCTGTCAAGTTTTATATGAAGAAATCCTGTTTCCAAAGAAGCCCTCAAAAAAGTCCAAATATTCACTTGGAGATCCTACAAAAAGAGTGTTTCAAAACTGCTCTATCAAAAGAAAGGTTAATCTCTGTGACTTGAACGCACACATCACAAAGCAGTTTCTGAGAATCATTCTGTCTAGTTTTTCTTCGAAGGTATTGCCTTTTCTACCATAGGCCTCAAGCGGCGCCAAATATCCACTTGGAAATACTACAAAAAGAAAGTTTCAAAACTGCTCTATCGAAAGGAAGCTTCAACTCTGTGAGTTGAAAGCACATATCAGAAAGAAGTTTCTGAGCATTCTTCTGTATAGTTTTATGTGAAGAAATCAAGGTTCAAAGGAAGGCCACAGGGAGTTCCAAATATCCAATTGCAGATACTACAAAAAGAGTGTTTCAAAACGGCTCTATCAAGAGGAATGTTCAACTCTGGGAGTTGAATGCAAATATCACAATGTAGTTTCTCACAATTTTTCCGTCTAGTTTTTATGTGAAGATATTTCCTTTTCTGCCGTAGGTCTCAAAGCACTCTAAATATACACATGCAAATTCCACAAAAAGAGTGATTCAAAACTGCTCTATAAAAAGAAAGTTTAAAGCTTGTAAGCTTAATGCACACATCACAAAGTAGTTTCTGATAATGATTCTCTCTTGTTTTTCTTATGAAGGCATTTCCTTTTCTACCATAGGCATCAAACCGCACTAAATATCAAAATGGAAATTTTACAAAAAGAGTATTTCAAAACTGCTCTATCGAAATAAGGCTCATCTCTGTGAATCGAATGCACACATGACAAAGAAGTTTCTGAGAATTCTTCTATCACGTTTTAACTGAAGAAATCCCGTTTCCAACGGAGGCCCCAAAAACGCCTAATATTCACTTGCAGATTCTACAAAAAGAGTGTTTCAAAACTGCTCTATCAAAAGAAAGGTAAACTTTTTGAGTTAAATGCTCACACCACAAAGGAATTTCTGAGAATCATTCTGTATAGTTTTTCTATGGAGATAATGACTTTTCTACCATAGGCCTCACGCGGCGCTAAATATCCACTTGGAAATACTACAAAACGAGAGTTTCAAAACTGCTCTATGGAAAGGAAGTTTCAACTCTTCGAGTTGAAAGCACACATCACAAAGAAGTTTCTGGGAATTCTTCTGTGTAGTTTTATATGAAGAAATCACGTTTCTAACGAAGGCCACAAAGAGGTCCAAATATCCACTCGCAGATTCTACAAAAAGAGTGTTTCAAAACTGCTCTATCAAAAGAAAGGTTAAACTCTGTGAGTTGAACGCCCTCATCACAAAGTAGTTTCTCAGAATTATTCTGTCGAATTTTTCTATGAAGATATTGTCTTTTCTACCATAGGCCTCAAACGGCGCTACATATACTCTTGGAAATTCTACAAAAAGAGAGTTTCAAAACTGCTCTATCGAAAGGAAGTTTCAACTCTGTGAGTTGAAAGCACACATCACAAAGAAGTTTCTGAGAATTCTTCTGTCTAGTTTTATAGGAAGAAATATCATTTCAAACGAAGGCCACAAAGAGGTCAAAATATCCATTTGCAGATTCTACAAAAAGAGTGTCTCAAAACTGCTCTATCAAGAGGAATGTTCAACTTTGTGAGTTGAATGCAAATATCACAAAATAGTTTCCCGACAATGTTTCTGTCTTGTTTTTATGTGAAGATATTTCCTTTTCTACCGTAGGACTCAAAGTTCTCTAAATATACGCTTGCAAAATCCTGAAAAAACTGTTACAAAACTGCTCTATCAAAACAAAGGGTAAACTCTGTAAGCTGAATGCACACATCACAAAGTAGTTTCTGACAATGATTCTGTCTAGTTTTTCTATGAAGATATTTCCTTTTCTACTACAGGTCTCAAACAGCTCGAAATCTCCACTTGGAAATTCTACAAAAAGAGTATTTCAAATCTGCTCTATCGAAAGATAGGTTGAAATCTCTGAGTTGAATGCCCACATCACGAAGAAGTTTCAGAGAATTTTTCTGTCACGTTTTATATGAAGAAATCACGTTTCAAACTAAAGCCCCCCAAAAGTCCAAATATTCACTAGAAGATCCTACAAAAAGAGTTTTTCAAAACTACTCTATCAAGAGGAATGTTCATCTCTGTGAGTTGAATGCAAATATCATGCAGTAGTTTCTGACAATGCTTCTGTCTAGTTTTTATGTGAAGATAATTCCTTGTCTACCACAGGCCTCAAAGCGCTCTAAATATACACTTGCAAATTCCACAAAAAGAGAGTTTCAATACTATCAAAAGAAAAGTTAAACTCTGTGATTTGAACGCACACATCACAAAGTACTTTCTGAGAATCACTCTGTCTAGTTTTTCTATGAAGATATTGGCTTTTGAACCATAGGCCTCAAACGGCGCAAAATATCCACTTGGAAATTCTACAAAAATAGATTTTCAAAACTGCTGCATCGAAAGGAAGGTTCAACACTGTGAGTTGAAAGCTCACGTCGCAACGAAGTTTCTGAGAATTCTTCTCTCTAGTTTTATATGTAGAAATCACGTTTCAAACGAAGGCCACAAAAAGGTCCAAATATCCGCTTGCAGATTCTACAAAAAGAGTGTTTCAAAACTGCTCTATGAAGAGGAATGTTCAACTGTGTGAGTTGAATGCAAATATCTCAAAGTAGTTTCTGAAAATGCTTCTGTCTAGTTTTTAAGTGAAGATATTTCCTTTTCTACCGTAGGCCTCAAAGCGCTCTAAATATTCACTTGCAAATTCCTCAAAAAGAGTGTTTCAAAACTGCTCTATCAAAAGAAAGGTTAAACTCTGTAGGGTGAATGTCCACAGCACAAAGTAGTTTCTGACAATGATTTTGTCTAGTTTTTCTATGAAGATATTTCCTTTTCTACCAAAGTCCTCAAACCGCTTTAAATATCCACTTCGAAATTCTACCAAAAGAGTATTTCAAAACTGCTCTATCGAAAGGGAGATTCAGCTCTGTGAGTTGAATGCACACATCACAAAGAAGTGTCTGAGAATTCTTCTGTCACGTTTTATATGGAGAAATCCCGTTTCCAACGAAGGCCACCAAAAGGTCCAAATATTCACTTGCAGATTCTACAAAAAGAGTGTTTCAAAACTGCTCTATCAAAAGAAAGTTAAACTCTATGAGTTTAACGCACACATGACAAAGTAGTTTCTGAGAATCATTCTATTTTTTCTATGAAGATATTGCCTTTTGTTCCTTAGGCCTCAAATGGCGCTAAATATCCACTTCGAAATTCTACAAAAGGACAGTTTCAATACTGCTCTATCGAAAGGAAGGTTCATCTCTGTGAGTTGAAAGCACACATCGCAAAGAAGTTTCTGAGAATTCTTCTGTCTAGTTTTATATGAAGAAATCACGATAAAAAAGAAGGCCAGAAAGAGGTCCAAATACCCACTTGCAGGTCCTGAAAAGGAGTGTTTCAAACTGCTCTATCAAGAGGAATGTTCAACTCTGTGAGTTGAATTCAAATATCACAAAGGAGTTTCTGACTATGCTTCTGTGTAGATTTTATGTGAAGGTATTTGCATTTCTACCATAGGCCTCAAAGCGCTCTAAATATACATTAGCAAACTCAACAGAAAGAGGGTTTCAAACCTGCTCTTTCAAAATAATGTTAAACCCTGTAAGCTGAATGCACACATCCCAAAGTAGTTTCTGAGAATGATTCTGTCTTGTTTTTCTATGAAAGTGCTCTATCAAAAGGAAGGTTCAATTGTGTGATTTGAATGCACACATCACAAAGAAGTTTCTGAGAATTCTTCTGTCACATTTTATATGAAGAAATCCCGTTTCCAACGAAGGCCCCCAAAACTCCAAATATTCACTTGCAGATTCTACAAAAACAGTGTTTTAAAACCGCTCTATCAAAGGAAAGATTAAACACTGTGAGTTGAACGCTCACAGCACGATGTAGTTTCTGGGAATCATTCTGTCTAATTTTTCTATGAAGATATAGCCTTTTCTACCATAGGCCTCAAACAGCGCAAAATATCCACTTGGAAAGTCAACAAAAAGAGAGTTTCAAAACTGCTCTATCGAAAGGAAGGTTCAACTCTGTGAGTTGAAAGCACACATCACAAAGAACTTTCTGAGAATTTTTCTATTTTCATATGAAGAAATCACGTTTCAAAAGAAGGCCACAAAGAGCTTCAAATATCCACTTGCAGATTCTACAAAAAGAGTGTTTCAAAACTGCTCTATCAAGAGGAATGTTCAATTCTGTAAGTTGAATCAAATATCACAAAGTAGTCTATGACAGTGCTTCTGTCTAGTTTTTATGTGAAGATATTTCCTTTTCTTCCATCGGCCTCAAAGCGCTGTAAATATACACTAGCAAACCCCACAAAAAGAGTGAATCTAAACTGCTCTATAAAAAGAACGGTTAGACTCTGTAACCCGAATGCACACTTCACAAAGTAGTTTCAGAGAATGATTCTGTCTAGTTTTTCTATAAAGATATTTCCTTTTCTACCACAGGACTGAAACCGCTCTGATTATCCACTTGGAAATCCTACAAAAAGAGTATTTCAAAACTGCTCTATCGAAAGAAGGGTTCAACACTGTGAGTTGAATGCACACATCCCAAAGAAGTTTCGGAGAATTCTTCTGTCACATTTCAATGAAGAAATCCCGTTTCCAACGGAGGTCCCAAAAAAGTCCAAATTTTCAATGCTGATTCTACAAAAAGAGTGTTTCAAAACGGCTCTATCAAAAGAAAAGTTAAACTCTGTGAGTTGACCGTACACATGACAAAGTCTTTTCTGAGAATCATTCTGTCTAGTTTTTGTATGAAGATATTTCCTTTTCTACCATAGGCCCCAAACGGCGCTAAATATCCACTTGGAAATTCTACAAAAAGAGACTTTCAAAACTCCTCTATCGAAAGGAATGTTCAACTCTGTGAGTTGAAAGCATACATCACAAAGAAGTTTCTGAGAATTGTTCTGTCTAGTTTTAGATGAAGAAATCACGTTTCAAACGAAGGACATGAAGAAGTCCAAATATCCACTGGCAGATTCTACAAAAAGAGTGTTTCAAAACTGCTCTCTCAAGAGGTGTGTTCAACTCTGTGATTTGAATGCAAATATCACAAAATAGTTTCCGTCAATGCTTCTGTCTGGTTTTTATATGAAGATACTTACTTTTCTACCGTAGGCCTGAAAGCGCTGTAAATATACACATGAAAATTCCACAAAAAGAGTGTTTCAAAACTGCTCTATCAAAAGAAAGGTTAAACTTTGTAAGCTGAAAGCACACATCACAAATCAGTTTCTGAGAATGATTCTCTCTAATTTTTCTAAGAAGATATTTCTTTTTCTACCATAGGCCTCAAACAGCTCTAAATATCCACATGGAAATTCTACAAAAGAGGAGTATTTCAAAACTTCTCTATTGAAAGGAAGGTTTAACTCTGTGAGTTGAATGCGCACATCACATAGAAGTTTCTGAGAATTCTTCTGTCAAGTTTTCTATGAAGAAATCCCGTTTCCAAGGAAGGCCTCCAAAAGTCCAAATATTCACTTGTAGATTCTACAAAAAGACTGTTTCAAAAAAGCTCTATCCAAAGAAAGGTTAAACTCTGTGAGTCGTAAGCACACATCCCAAAGTAGTTTCTCAGAATCATTCTATCTAGTTTTTCTAAGAAGATATTTCCTTTTCTAACATAGGCCTCAAACGGTGCTAAATATCCACTTGGAAATTCTACAAAAAAGAGAGTTTCAAAACTGCTCTATCAAAAGAAAGTTTCAACTGTGTGAGTTGAAAGCACACATCACAAAGAAGGTTCTGAGAGTTCTTCAGTCTAGTTTTGTATGAAGAAATCATGTTTGAAATGAAGGCCACAAAGAGGTTCAAATATCCACTTGTAGATTCTACAAAAAGAGTGTTTCAAAACTGCTCTATCAAAAGGAATTTTCAACTCTGTGAGTTGAATACAAATGTCACAAAATAGATTCTGACAATGTTTTTGTCTAGTTTTTATGTGAAGATATTTCCTTTTCTACCTTAGGCCTCAAAGCGCTCTAAATATACACTAGAAAATTCCACAAAATGAGTGTTTCAAAACTGCTCTATCAAAAGAAAGCTTAAACTCAGTAAGCTGAATGCACACATCACAATGTAGTTTCTGAGAATTATTCTGTCTAGTTTTTCTATGAAGATATTTCCTTGTATAAAACAGGCCTAAACCGTTCTAAATATCCACTTTGAAATACTGCAAAAAGAGTATTTCAAAACAGCTCTATCGAAAGGAAGGTTAAACTCTGTCAGTTGAATGCACACATCACATAGTAGTTTCTGGGAATGATTCTGTCTAGTTTTTGTATGAAGATATTCCCTTTTGAACCATAGGATTCAATGTGCTCTAAATATTCTCTTGGAAATTATACAAAAAGAGTGTTTCAAATCTGCTCTATCAAAAGGAATGTTCAGCTCTGTGAGTTGGATGCACACATCACAAAAAAGGTTCTGAGAATTCTTCTGTCTAGTTTTATATGAAGAAATCCTGTTTCCAATGAAGGCCTCATAGTGGTCCAAATATCCACTAGGAGATTCTACAAAAAGAGTGTTTCAAAACTGCTCTGTCAATTGGAATGTTCAACTCTGTGAGTTGAATGCGAACATCACAAAGCAGTTTCTGAGAATACTTCTGTTTCGTGTTTTATGTGAAGATATTTCCTTCTCTACCATAGACTTCAAAGCACTCAAAATACACACTTGCAAATTATACAAAAAGAGTGTTTCAAAACTCCTCTATCAAAAGAATGGTTAAACTCAGTGAGTTGAACGCACACATCACAGAGCAGTTTCTGGGAATGATTCTGTCTAGTGTTTATATGAGGATATTTACTTTTCTACCATAGGATTCAAAGCGTTCTAAATATCCACTTGGAAATTCTGCAAAAAGAGTGTTTCATATCTACTCTATCAAAATGAAGGTTCAACTGTGTGAGTTGAATGCACACATCACAAAGAACTTTCTGAGAATTCTTCTGTCAAGTTTAATATGAAGAAATCCCGTTTCTAACGAAGGCCTCAAAGAGGTCCAAATATCCACTTGCAGATTCTACAAAAAGAGTGTTTCAAAACTGCTACATAAAGAGGAATGTTCAACTCTGTGAGTTGAATGTAAACATCACAAAGCGGTTTCTGAGAATGCTTCTGTGTAGTTTTTATGTGAAGATATTTCCTTTTCTACAATAGGCCTCAAAGAGCTCTAAATATCCACTTGCAAACTCTACAAAAAGAGACATTCAAAACTGCTCTGTCAAAAGGAAGGTTCACCTCTGTGAGTTGAGTACAGACATCACAAAGAATTTTCAGAGAATACTTCTGTCTACTTTTTATGTGGAGATATTCCCGTTTCCAAAGAAAACCTCAAAGCGCTCCACATATCCAGATGGAGACTTTGAAAACAGAGTGTTTCAAAACTGCTCTATCAAAATAAAGGTTAAACTCTGTGAGTTGAACTCAAACGTCACAAACCAGTTTCTGGGAATGATTCTGTCAAGTCTTTATATGAAGATACTTCCTTTTCTACCATAGTATACAAAGTGCTCTAAATATCCACTTGGAAATTCTACAAAAAGAGTGTTTCACATCTGAACTATCAAAAGGAAGGTTCAACTCTGTCAGTTGAATGCACGCATCACAAAGAAGTTTCTGACAATTCTTCTGTCTGGTTTTATTTGAAGAAATCCCGTTTCCAACGAAGGTCTCAAAGAGGTCCAAATATCCACTTGCAGATTCTACAAAAAGAGTGTTTCAAAACTGCTGTATCAAGAGGAATGTTCAATTATGTTAGTTGAATGCGAACATCACAAAGTAGTTTCTGAGAATGCTTCTCTCTAGTTTTTATGTGAAGATATTCACTTTTGAACCATAGGCCTCAAAGCTCTCAAAATACACACTTGCAAATTCTGCAAAAAGAGTGTTTCAAAACTGCTCTATCAAAAGAAAGTTTCACCTCTGTGAGTTGAGTACAGACATCACAAAGACGTTTCTGAGAATACTTCTGTCTACTTTTTATGTGAAGATATTCAAGTTTATGATGAAAACCTCAAAGCACTCCAAATCTCAAGATGGAGAATTTTCAAAAAGAGTGTCTCAAAACTGCTCTATCAAAAGAAAGGTTAAACTCTGTGAGTTGAACACAAACATCACAAAGCAGTTTCTGGGAATCATTCTGATTATTTTTATATGAAGATATTTCCTTATCTACCATAGGGTTCAAAGCGATCTAAATATCAACTTGGAAATTCTACAAAAAGAGTGTTTCTAATCTGCTCAATCAAAAGGAACGTTCAACTCTGTGAGTTGAATGCACGCATCACAAAGAAGTTGCTGACAATTCTTCTGTCTAATTTTATTTGAAGAAATCCCGTTTCCAACGAAGGTCTCAGACTGGTCCAAATATCCACTTGCAGATTCTACAAAAAGAGTGTTTCAAAACTGCTCTATCAAGAGGAATGTTCAACTCTGTGAGTTGAATGCAAACATCACAAATTAGTTTCTGAGAATGCTTCTGTCTAGTTTTTATGGAAAGATATTTCCTTTTCTAACATAGGCCTCAAAGCGCTCTAAATACACACTTGCAAATTCTCCAAAAAGAGTGTTTCAAAACTGCTCTATAAAAAGAAAGGTTAAACTCAGTGAGTTGAATGCACACATCACAAAATATTTTCTGATAATGATTCCGTCTCGTTTTTATATGAAGATATTTCCTTTTCTACCACAGGCCTCAAAGCGCCCTAAATACCCATTTGCAAATTCTACAAAAAAAGTGTTTCAAGACTGCTCTATCAAGAGGAATGTTCAATTCTGTTAGTTGAATGCAAACATCACAAAGTAGTTTCTGAAAATGCTTCTGTCTAGTTTTTATGAGAAGATATTCCCTTTTCTACCATAAGCCTCAAAGCCCTCTAAATACACACTTGCAAATTCTACAAAAAGAGTGTTTCAATACTGCTCTATCAAAAGGAAGATTCACCTCTGTGAGTTGAGTACAGACATCACAAAGACGTTTCTCAGATCATTTCTGTCTACTTTTTATGTGAAGATATTCTAGTTTATAATGAAAACCTCAAAGCGCTCCAAATATCAAGATGCAGACATTTCATACGGAGTGTTTCAAAACTGCTATATCAAAAGAAAGGTTAAACACTGTGAGTGGAACCCAAACATTACAAAGTAGTTTCTGGGAATGATTCTCTCTAGTTTTTAAATGAAGGTATTTCCTTTTCTACCATAGGATTCAAAGAGCTCTAAATATCCACATGGAAATTCTAGAAAAAGTGTGTTTCAAATCTGCTCTATCAAAATGAAGGTTCAACTCTGTGAGTTGAATGCACACATCACAAAGAAGTTTCTGAGAATTCTTCTGTCTAGTTTTATATGAAGAAATCCCATTTCCAACGAAGCCCTCAATGCGGTCCAAATATCCACTTGCAGATCCTACAAAAAGGATGTTTCAAAACTGCTGTATAAAGAGGAATGTTCAACTCTGTAATTTGAATGCAAACATCAAAAAGTAGTTTCTGAGAATGCTTGTCTAGTTTTTATGTGAAGATATTTTCTTTCCTACTGCAGGCCTCAAAGCGCTCTAAATATCCTCTTGCAAACGCTACAAAAAGAGTTTTTCAAAACTGCTCTATCAAAAGGAAGTTTCACCTCTGAGAGCTGAGTACAGACATCACAAAGAAGTTTCTGAGAATACTTCTGTCTACTTTTTATGTGAAGAAATTCCCGTTTCCAAAAAAACCTCAAAGCGCTCCAAATATCCAGATGCAGACTTTACAAACAGAGTGTTCCAAAACTGCTCTATGAAAAGAAAGGTTAAACTCTGTGAGTTGAATGCACACATCACAAAGTAGCTTCTGAGAATGATTCTGTGTAGTTTTTATATGAAGATATATCCTTTTCAACCGTAGGCTTTGAAAAGCCCTCTAAATATCCACGTGGAAATTCTACAAAAAGAGTGTATCAAACTGCAATATCGTAAGGAAGGTTCAACTCTGTGAGTTGAAGGCACAAATCACAAATCTCTCTGAGAATTCTTCTGTCTAGTATTTATGTGAAGAAATATCCGTTACCAACGAAGACCTCAAAGAGGTCCAAATATCCACTTGAAGATTCTACAGAAAGAGTGTTTCAAAACTGCTCTATCAAAGGGAAGGTTGAACTCTGTGAGTTGAATGAAAACATCACAAAGTAGTTTCTGAGAATGCTTCTGTCTAGTTTTTATATGAAGATATTTCCTTTTCTACTGTAGGCCTCAAAGCCCTCTAAATACACACTTGCAAATGCTACAAAAAGAGCGTTTCAGAACTACTCTATTAAGAGGAAGGTTAAACTCGGCGTATAGAATGCACACATCACAAAGCAGTTTCTGAGAATGAATCTGGCTAGTTTTTCCATGAAGATATTTCCTTGCCTACCACAGGCCCAAAACCGCTCTAAATATCCACTTGGAATTTCTACAAAAAGATTATTTCAAAACTGCTCTATCAAAAGGAAGGTTCAACTCTGTGAGTAGAATGCACACATCAAAAAGAAGTTTCTGATAATTCCTCTGTCAAGTTTTATATGAAGAAATCACGTTTCCAATGAAGGCCTCCAAAAAGCCCAAATATTCACTTGCAGATTCTACAAAAAGAGTGTTTCAAAACAGCTCTATCAAAAGAAATTTTAAACTCTGTGAGTTGAATGCACACATCACAAAGTAGTTTCTGAGATTCCTTCTGTCTAGTTTTTCTATGAAATTATTGCCTTTTCTACCATAGGCATCAAACGGCACTAAATATCCGCTTGGAAATTCTAGAGAAAGTGAGCTTCAAAACTGCTGTATCGAAAAGAAGGTTCAACCCAGTGAGTTGAAAGCACACATGACAAAGAAGTTTCTGAGAATTCTTCTGTCTAGTTTTATATGAAGAAATCACGTTTCAAACGAAGGCTACAAAGGGGTCCAAATACCCAATTGCAGATTCTACAAAAAGAGTGTTTCAAAACTGCTCCATCAAGAGGAATGTTCAACTCTGTGGCTTGAATGCAAATATCGCAAAGTAGTTTCTGATAATGCCTCTGTGTAGTTTTTATGTGAAGGTTTTTCCTTTTCTACCATAGGCCTCAAAGCGCTGTAAATATGCACTTGCAAATTCCACAAAAATAGTGTTTCAAAACTGCTCTTTCAAAAGAAAGGTTAAATTCTGTGAGTTGACCGCACACATCACAAAATAGTTTCTGAGAATCACTCTATCTAGTTTTTCTATGAAGATATTGCCTTTTCTAACATAGGCCTCCAACGGCGCTAAATATCTACTTGGAAATTCTACAAAAAGAGAGTTTCAAAACTATTCTATCAAAAGGAAGGTTCAACTCTGTGAGTTGAAAGCACACATCACAAAGAAGTTTCTGAAAATTCTTCTGTCTAGTTTTATATGAAAAAATCTCGTTTCAAACGAAGGTAAACAAGAGTTCCAAATATCCACCTGCAGATTCTTCAAAAAGAGTGTTTCAAAACTGCTCTGTCAAGAGGAATGTTCATCTCTGTTAGTTTAATGCAAATATCACAAAGAAGTTTCTGACAATGCTTCTGTCTAGTATTTATGTGAAGATATTTCCATTTCTACCTTAGGCCAAGAAGCGCTCTAAATATATACTTGCAAATTTCACAAAAAGAGTGTTTCAAAACTGCTCTATCAAAAGAAGTGTTAAACTCTATAAGCTGAATGCACACATCAAAATGTAGTTTCTGAGAATTATTCTGTCTAGGTTTTCTATGAAGATATTTCCTTTTCTACCGTAGGCCACAAACCGCTCTAAATATCCGCTTGGAAATTCTGCAAAAGAATATTTGAAAACTTCTCTTTCGAAAGGAAGGTTCAACTCTGTGAGCTGAATGCACACATCACAAAGGAGTTTCTGAGAATTGTTCTATCAAGTTTTACATGAAGAAATCCCGTTTCCAACGAAGGCCCCAAAAAGGTCAAATGTTCACTTGCAGACTCTACAAAAAGTGTGTTTCAAAACTGTTCTGTCAAAAGAAAGGTTAAACTCTGCGAGTTTAACGCACACATCACAAAGTAGTTTCTGAAAATCATTGTCTCAAGTTTTTCTATGAAGATATTGGGTTTTCTACCATAGGCCTCAAACGGGGTTAAATATCCAACTGGAAATTCTACAAAAAGAGCGTTTCAAAGCTATTCTATCGAAACGATGGTTCAAATCTGTGAGTTGAAAGCACACATCACAAAGAAGATTCTGAGAATTCTTCTGTCAGTTTTATATAAAGGAATCACGTTTCAAATGAAGGTCCCAAAAGGTCCAAATATCCACTTGCAGATTCTTCGAAAAGAGTGTTTCAAAACTGCTCTATCAACAGGAATGTTCAACTCGGTGAGTTGAATGCAAACATCAAAACGTTTCTGACTATGCTTCCGTCTGGTTTTCATGTGAAGATATTTCCTTTTCTACCATAGGCCTCAAACCGTTCTAAATCTCCACTTGGAAATTCTACAAAAAGAGTATTTCAAAACTGCTCTACCGATAGGAAGGTTCAACGCTGTGAGTTGAATGCAGACATCACAAAGTAGTTTCTGATAATTCTTCTGTCAAATTTTATATGAAGAAATCCAGTTTCCAACGTAGGCCTCAAAAAATTCCAAATATTCACTTGCAGATTTTACAAAATAGTGTTTCAAAACTGCTCTATCAAGAGTAATGTTCAACTCTGTCAGTTGAATGCAAACAATACAAAGGAGTTTCTGAGAATGCTTCTGTCTAGTTTTTATGTGAAGATATTTCCTTTTCTACCGTTGGTCTCAAAGCGCTCTAAATATACACTTGCAAATTCCACAAAAACAGTGTTTCAAAACTGCTCTATCAAAGAACGGTTAAACTCTGTAAAGTGAATGCACACATCACAAAATAGTTTCTGATAATGATTCTGTCTAGTATTACTATGAAGATATTTACTTTTCTACAACAGACCCCAAACCGCTCTTAATATCCACTTGTAAATTCTGGAAAAAGTGTATTTCAAAGCTGCTCTATTGAAAGGAAGGTTCAACTCTGGGACTTGAATGCACACATCACATAGAAGTTTCTGAGAATTCTTCTGTCAACTTTTGTATGAAGAAATCCCGTTTCCAATGAAGGCTTCAAAAAAGTTCAAATATTCAGTTGTTGATTCTACAAAAAGAGTGTTTCAAAACTGCACTATCAAAGGAAAGGTTAAACTCTTTGAGTTGAACGCACACACCACAAAGTAGTTTCTGAGAATAATTCTGTCTAGTTTTTCTATGAAGTTATTTCATTTTATACCATAGGCCTCAAACGGCACTAAATATCCTCTTGGAAACTCTACAAAAAGATTGTTTCAAAACGGCTCTATCTAAAGGAAGGTTCATCTCTGTGAGTTGAAAGCAAACAACACAAAGTAGTTTCTGAGAATTCTACTGCCTAGTTTTATATGAAGAAATCACGTTTCAAACGAAGGCCACCAAGACGTCCAAATATCCACCTGCAGATTATACAAAAAGTTTGTTTCAAAAGTGCTCTATCAAAAGAAAGGTTAAACTCTGTAAGCTGAATGCACACATCAGTAAGTAGTTTCTGATAATGATTCTGTCTAGTTTTTCAGTGAAGATATTACTTTTTCTACCACAGGCCTCAATCCGCTCTAAATATCCACTTGGAAATACAACAAAAAGAGTATTTCAAAACTGCTCTATCGAAAGGAAGGTTCAACTCGGTGTGTTGAATGCGCACATCACAAAGAAGTTTCTGAGAATTCTTCTGTCAAGTTTATATGAAGAAAACCCGTTTCCAGGGAAGGCCTCAAAAAAGTCCAAATATTCACCCTCAGATTCTACAAAAAGAGTTTTTCAAACCTGCTCTATCTAAAGAAACGTTAAACAAGGTGGGTTGAACGCACACACCACAAAGTAGTTTCTGAGAATCATTATGTCTAGTTTTTCTATGAAGATATTGCCTTTTCTACCATAGGCCTCAAACGGCGCTAAATATCTACTTGGAAATTCTACAAAAAGAAAGTGTCAAAACTGATGTATCGAAAGGAAGGTTCAATTCTGTGAGTGGAAAGCACACATCACAAAGAAGTTGCTGGCAATTCTTCGGTCTAGTTTTATAGGAAGAAATCACGTTTCAAACGAAGGGCTCAAGAGATCTAAATATCCACTTGCAGATTCTACAGAAAGAGTGTTTCAAAACAGCTCTATCAAGAGGAATGTTCAGCTCTGTGAGTTGAATCCAAATATCACAAAGCAGTTTCTGACACTGCTTCTGTCTAGTTTTTATGTGAAGATATTTCCTTTTCTAACGTAGACCTCAATGTGCACTAATTGTACACTTGCAAATTCCACAAAAAGAGTGTTTTAAAACTGCTCTATCAATAGAAAAGTTAAACTCTGTGAGGTGAATGCACACATCACAAAGAAGTTTCTGAGAATGATTCTGTCTAGTTTTTCTATGAAGGTATTTTCTTTTCTATCATAGGCACCAACAGCTCTAAATATCCACTTGGAAATTCTACAAAAAGAGTATTTCTAAACTGTTATATAAAAAGGAAGGTTCAACTCCGTGAGCAGAATGCACACATCACAAAGAAGTTTCTGAGAATTCTACTGTCAAGTATTATATGAAGAAAACCGGTTTCCAACGAAGGCCACAAAAAAGTCCAAATATTCAATTGCAGGTTCTACAAAAAAAGTGCTTCAACACTGCTCTATCAAAAGAAAGGTTAAACTCTGTGAGTTGAACCCACACATCACAAAGTAGTTTCTGAGAATCATTCTGTCTTGTTTTTCTATGAAGATATTGCCTTTTCTACAATGGGCCTCAAACGGCGCTAAATATCCACTTGGAAATCCTACAAAAAGAGAGTTTCAAAACTGCTCTATCGAAAGGAAGGTTCAACTATGTGAGTTGAAAACACACATCACAAAGAAGTTTATGAGAATTCTTTGGTCTAGTATTATAGGAAGAAATCACCTTTCAAACGAAGGTCACAAGAGATCAAAATATCCACTTGCAGATTCTACAGAAAGAGCGTTTCAAAACAGGTCTATCAAGAGGAATGTTCAGCTCTGTGAGTTGAATCCAAATATCACAAAGCAGTTTCTGACACTGCTTCTGTCTAGTTTTTATGTGAAGATATTTCCTTTTCTAACGTAGACCTCAAAATGCAGAAATTATACATTGCAAATTCCACAAAAAGAGTGTTTCAAAACTGCTCTATCAATAGAAAGTTTAAACTCTGTGAGGTGAATGCACACATCACAAAGAAGTTTCTGAGAATAATTCTGTCTAGTTTTTCTATGAAGGTATTTCCTTTTCTATCATAGGCTGAAACATCTCCAAATATCCACCTGGAAATTCTACACAAAGAGAATTTGTAAACTGCTCTATAGAAAGGAAGGTTCAATTCTGTGAGCTGAATGCACACATCACAAAAGTTTCTGAGAATTCTTCTGTCAAGTTTTATGTGAAGAAAACCGGTTTCCACCGAAGGCCACAAAAAAGTCCAAATTTTCACTTGCAGGTTCTACAAAAAAAGTGCTTCAACACTGCTCTATCAAAAGAAAGGTTAAACTCTGTGAGTTGAACGCACACATCACAAAGAAGTTTCTGAGAATTCTTCTGTCTAGTTTTATGTGAAGAAATCCCGTTTCCAACAAAGGCCTCAAAGAGGTTCAAATAGCCACCGTCAGATTCTACAAAAAGAGTGTTTCAAAACTGCTCTATCAAGAGGAAATTTCAACTCCGTGAGTTGAATGCAAACATCACAAAGTAGTTTCTGAGAATGCTTCTGTCTAGTTTTTATATGAAGATATATCCTTTCCTACCATAGGCCTCAAAGAACTCTAAATATCCACTTGCAAACTACAAAAAGAGTGTTTCAAAACTGCTCTATCTGAGAATATTTCTGTGTACTTTTTCTGTGAAGATATATCGCTTTCTACCATAGGCCTCAAAGTGCTCTAAATACACACTTCCAAATTCAACAAAAAGAGTGTTTCAAAACTGCTCTATCAAAAGAAAGTTTATACTCAGTGAGTTGAATGCACACATTATAAAGTGCTTTCTGATTTTGATTTTCTCTAGTGCTTATATGATGATATTACCTTTTATACTATAGGCCTAAAAGCGTCCTAAATATCCACTTGGAAATTCTACAAAAAGAGTGTTTCAAAACTGCTCTTTTGAAAGGAACATTCAACTCTGTGAGTTGAATGCACACATCACAAAGAAGCTTCTGAGAATTCTTCTGTCTAGTTTTATGTGAAGAAATCACGTTTCAAACGAAGACCACAAAGAGGTCCAAATATCCACTTGCAGATCCTAGAAAAAGAGTGTTACAAACTGCTCTATCAAAAGGAATGTTTAACTCTGCGGGTTGAATGCATACATCACAAAGTAGTTTCTGAGAATGCTTCTGTCTAGTTTTTATGTGAAGATGTTTCCTTTTCTACCGTAGGCCTCAAAGCGCTCTAAATACCCACTTACAAACTCTACAAAAAGAGTGTTTCAAAACCGCTCTATCAAAAGGAAGGTTCACCTCTGTGAGTTGAGTACAGACATCACAAAGTAGTTTCTGAGAATACTTTGTCTCCTTTTTTTATGTGAAGATATTCCCGTTTCCAAAGAAAACCTCAAAGCGCTCCAAATATCCAGATGCAGACTTTACAAACACAGTGTTTGAAAACCGCTCTATCAAAAGAAGGGTTAAACTCTGTGAGTTGAAGGCACACATCACAAAGTAGTTTCTGGGAATAATTCTGTCTAGTTTTTGTATGAAGATATTCAGTTTTCTACCATAGGATTCAATGTGCTCTAAATATTCTCTTGGAAATTCTACAAAAAGAGTGTTTCAAATCTGCTCTATCAAAAGGAATGTTCAACTCTGTGAATTGGATGCACACATCACAAAGAAGTCTCTGAGAACTCTTCTGTCTAGTTTTATATGAAGAAATCCCGTTTACAACGAAGGCCTCATAGTGGTCCAAATATCCACTAGAAGATTCTGCAAAAAGAGTGTTTCAAAACTGCTCTGTCAAGTGGAAAGTTCAACTCTGTGAGTTGAATGCGAACATCACAAAGCAGTTTCTGAGAATACTTCTTTTTCGTTTTTATGTGAAGATATTTCCTTCTCTACCGTAGACTTCAAAGCACTCTAAATACACACTTGCAAATTATACAAAAAGACTGTTTCAAAACTCCTCTATCAAAATAAAGGTTATACTCAGTGAGTTGAATACACGCATCACTAAGTAGTTTCAGAGAATGCTTCTGTCTTGTTTTTATGTGAAGGTAATTCCTTTTCTAACATTGGCCTCAAAACGCTCTAAATATCCACTTGCAAACTCTACAAAAAGAGTGTTTCTAAACTGCTCTATCAAAAGGAATATTCACCTCTGTGAGTTGAGTACAGACATCACAAAGAAATTCCTGAGAATTCTTCTGTCTAGTTTTATATGAAGAAATCCCTTTTCCAACGAAGGCCTCTAAGAGGTCTAAATATCCACCTGCAGATTCTACAAAAAGAGTGTTTCAAAACGGCTCTATCAAGAGGAATGCTCAACTCTGTGAGTTGAATGCAAACACAACAAAGGAGTTTCTGAGAATGCTTCTGTGTAGTTTTTCTACGAAGATATTTCCTTTTCTACTATAGGCCTCAAAGCGCTCTAAATACACACTTGCAAGATCTACAAAAAGAGTGTTTCAAAACTGCTCTATTGAAAGGAACTTTCACATCTGCGAGTTGAATGCACACATCAAAAAGAAGTTTCTGAGAATTCTTCTGTCTAGTTTTTTTATGATGAAATTCCCGTTCCCACGAAAGCCTCAAAGAGGTCCAAGTATTCACTTGCAGATTCCACAAAAGCGGTGTTTCAAAACTGCTCTATCAAGAGGAATGTTCAACTCTGTGGGTTGAATGCAAATATCGCAAAGTAGTTACTGATAATGCTTCTGTCTAGCTCCTTTTCTACTTTAGGCCTCAAAGCGCTGTAAATATACACTTGCAAATTCCACAAAAACAGTGTATCAAAACTGCTCTATCGAAAGAAAGGTTAAACTCCGAGAGATGAACGCACACATCTGGAAGTGTGTGGAATGCAAATATCTCACAGTAGTTTCTGTAAATGCTTCTGTCTAGTTTTTAGGTGAAGATATTTCCTCTTCTACCGTAGGCCTCAAAGCACTCTAAATATACACTTGTAAATTCCATAAAAAGTGTGTTTCAAAACTGCTCTATCAAAAGAAAGTTTAAACTCTGTGAGTTGAACGCACACACCGCAAAGTAGTTTCTGAGAATCACTCCGTCTAGTTTTTCTATGAAGAAACTGCCTTTTCTACCTTAGGCCTCGAACGGATTTAAATATCCACTTGGAAATTCTACAAAAAGAGAGTTTCAAAACTGCTCTATTGAAAAGAATCTTCAAATCTGTGAGATGAAAGCACACATCACAAAGAAGATTCTCAGAATTCTTGTGTATAGTTTTATATGAAGTAATCACGTTTCAAAGGAAGGCCACAAAGAGGTCAAAATATTCACTTGAAGATTATACAAAAAGCGAGTTTCTAAACTGCTTTATCAAGGGCAATGTACAACTCTGTGAGTTGAATGCAAGTATCACAAAGTAGTTTCTGAAAATTCTTCTGTCTAGTTTTTATGTGAAGATATTTCCTTTTCCACCGTAGGCCTCAAAGTGGTCAAAATACACACTTGAAAACTTCACAAAAGATCGTTTCAAAACTGCTCTATCAAAGAAATATTAAACACTATAAGCTGAATGCACACATCACAAATTACTTTCCCAGAATGATTCTCTCTAGTTTTTCCAAGAAGATATTTCATTTTCTACCACAGGCCTCATACCGCTCCAAATTTCCACTTGGAAATTCTGCAAAAAGTGTATTTCAAAACTGTTCTATCGAAAGGAAGGTTCAACTCTGTGAGTTGAAAGCACACATCACAAAGAAGTTTCTGAGAATTCTTCTGTCCGTTTTATATGAAGAAAACCCGTTTCCAATGAAGGCCCCTAAAGTCCAAATATTCACTAGCAGATTGTACAAAAAGAGTGTTTCGAAACGGCTCTTTCAGAAGAAAGGTTAAACTGTGTGAGCAGAATGCCCACATCACAAATTAGTTTCAGAGAATGATTCTGTCTAGTTTTTATGTGAAGCTATTTCCTTTTCTGCCGTAGGCCTCAAAGCACTATAAATATACACTTGCAAATTCCACAAAAAGAGTGTTTCACAACTGCTCTAGTAAAAGAAACGTTAAACTGTGTAAGCTGAATGCACACGTCACAAATTAGTTTCTGAGAATGACTCTGTCTATTTTTTCTATGAAGGTATTTCCTTTTCTACCACAGGCCTGAAACCTCTCTATATGTCCACTTGGAAATGCTACAAAAATAGAACTGCAAAACTGCTCAATCAAAAGAAGGCTCAACACTGTGAGTTGAATTTGCACATCGCAAAGAAGATTCTGAGAATTCTTCTGTCAAGTTTTATATGAAGAAATCCCGTTTCCAAAGAAGGCCTCAAAAAATACAAATATTCACTTGCAGATTCTACAAAAACAGTGTTTCAAAACTGCTCTATCAAAATAAAGGTTAAACTCGGTGAGTTGAACCCACACATCACAAAGTAGTTTCTGAGAATTATTCTGTCTAGTTTTTCTATGAAGATATTGCCTTTTCTACCAAAGGCCTCAAACGGCGCTAAATATCCACTTGGAAATTCTACAAAAAGAGAGTTTCAAAACAGCTCAATCGAAAGGAAGTTTCAACTCTGTGAGTTGAAAGCACACATCACAAAGAAGTTTCTGAAAATTCTTCCGTTTAGATTTATATGAAGAAATCACGTTTCATACGAAGGCAACAAAGAGGTCGAAATATCCCCTTGCAGATTCTTCAAAAAGAGTGTTTCAAAACTGCTCTATCAAGAGGAATGTTCAAATCTGTGAGTTGAATGCGTTGAATGCAAATATCACAAAGTAGTTTCTGACGAAGCTTCTTTCAAGTTTTTATGTGAAGATATCTCCTTTTCCACCATAGGCCTCAAAGCTCTCTAAATATACACTTGCAAATTCCACAAAAAGAGTGTTTCAAGACTGCTCTATCAAAAGAAATGTTAAACTTTGTAAGCTGAATGCACACTTCACAAAGTAGTTTCAGAGAAGGATTCTGTCCGGTTTTCTATGAAGATATTTCCTTTTTTACCATAGGCCTCAAACCGCTCTAAATATCCACTTGGAATTTCAACAAAAAGAGTATTTCAAAGCTGGTCTATCGAAAGGAAAGTTCAACTTTGTGAGTTGAAGGCACACATCACAAAGAAGTTTCTGAAAATTCTTCTGTCCAATTTTATATGAAGAAATCCCGTTTCCAAAGAAGGCCTCAAGAAAGTCCAAATATTCACTTGCAGATTCTACAAAAAGAGTGTTTCAAAACTACTCTATTAAAAGAAAGTTTAAACTCTGTGAGTTGAACGCACACATCACAAAGTAGTTTCTGAGAATCATTCTGTCTTGTTTTTCTATGAAGTTATTGCCTTTTCTACCATAGGCCTCAAACGACACTAAATATATACTTGGAAATGCTACAAAAAGACTGTTTCAAAATTGCTCTATCGAAAGGAAGCTTCAACTCTGTGAGTTGAAAGCACACATCACAGGAAGTTTCTGAGAATACTTCTGTCTGGTTTTATAGGCAGAAATCATGTTTCAAAAGAAGTCCACAAAGAGGCGCAAATATCCACTTGCAGATTCTAAAATAAGACTGTTTCAAAACTGCTCTATGAAGAGGAATGTTCAACTCTGTGAGTTGAAGGTGAATATCACAAAGTAGTTCCTAACAATGCTTCTGTCTACTTTTTTTGTGAAGATATTTCCTTTTCTACTGTAGGCCTCAAAGCGCTCTAAATAAACACTTACATATCCCACAGAAAGAGAATTTGAAAACTGCTCTATCAAAAGAAAGATTAACTACTGTAAGCTGAATGCTTACATCAAAAAGGAGTTTCTCAGAATGATTCTGTCTAGTTTTTCTAGGAAGATATTTCCTTTTCAACCACATACCTAAAAACCGTTCCAAATATCCACTTGGATATTCTGCAAAAAGAGTATTTCAAAACTGTTCTATCAAAAGGAAGGTTCAACCCTGTCAGTTGAATGCACACATCACAAAGAAGTTTCCAAGAATTCTTCTATCAAGTTTTATATGACGAAATCCCGTTTCCAACGAAGGCCTCAAAAAAGTCCGAATATTCACTTGCAGATTCTATAAAAAGTGTGTTTCAAAATTGCTCTATGAACAGAAAGTTTAAACTCTGTGAGTTGAACGCACACATCACAATGTAGTTTCTGAGAATCATTCTGTCTAGTATATCTATGAAGATATTTCCTTTTCTACCATAGGCGCGAAACGACGCTAATTATCCACAGGGAAATTCTACAAAAAGAGAGTTTCAAAACTCCTCTATCGAAAGGAAGGTTCAACTCTGTGAGTTGAAAGCACACATCACAAAGGAGTTTCTGAGAATCATTCTGTCTACTTTTATATGAAGAAATCACGTTTTAAAAGAAGGCCAGAAAGAGGCCCAAATATCCACTTGCAGATTTTACAAAAAGAGTGTTACAAAACTGTTCTATCCAGAATAATTTTCAACTCTGTGAGTTGAATGCAAATATCAAAAAGTGGTTCCGGACAATGCATCTGTCCAGATTTTATGTGAAGATATTTCCTTTTCTACAGTAGGCCTCAAAACTCTCTAAATATACAGTTGCCAATTCCACAAAAAGTGTGTTTCAAAACTGTTCTATCAAAAGAAAGGTTAAAATCAGTAATCTGAATGCACACATCACAAATTAGTTTCTGACAATAATTCTGTCAGTTTTTGCATGAAGTTATTTCCTTTTCTACCACACGCCTCAAACCGCTGAAGATACCCACTTGGAAATTCTACAAAAAGAGTTATTCAAAACTGCTCTATCGAAAGGAAGGTTCAACTTTGTGAGTTGAATGCACACATCACAAAGAAGTTTCTGAGAATTCTTCTTTCAAGATTTATATGAAGAAATCCCATTTGCAACGAAGGCCCAAAAGAAATCGAAATATTCACAAGCAGTTTCTACAAAGAGAGTGTTTCAAATCTTCTCTATCAAAACAAAGGTTAAACTCTGTTAGTTGAACACTCACATCAAAAGGTAGTTTCTGAGAATCATTCTGTCTAACTTTCCTATGAAGATATTTCCTTTTCTACCATAGGCCTGAAAGGTCACTAAATATACCATTGGAAATTCTACAAAAAGAGAGTTTCAGAACTGCTCTATCGAAAGGAAGGTTCAACTCTGTGAGTTGAAAGCACACATAACAAAGAAGATTCTGAGAATTCTTCTCTGTAGTTTTATATGAAGAAATCACGTTTCAAAAGAAGGCCACAAAGAGGCCCAAATATCCACTTGCATACTCTACATAAATAGTGTTTCAAAACTGCTCTATCAAGAGGAATGTTCAAATCTGTGAGTTGAATGCAAATATCACAAAGTAGTTTCTGACAATGCTTCTGTCTAGTTTTTATGTGAAGATATTTCCTTTTCTACCGTAGGCCTCGAAGCACTCTAAATACACAATTGCAAATTCCACAAAAAGAGTGTTTCAAAACTACTCTATCAAAAGAAATGTTAAACTCTGTAAGGTGAATGCACACCTCACAACTAGTTTCTGACAATGATTCTGTCTAGTTTCTCTATGAAGATATTTCGTTTTCTACCACAGGTCTCAGACCGCTATAATTATACACTTGGAAATTCTACAAAAAGAGTAATTCAAAACTGCTCTATCGAAAGGAAGGTTAAACACTGTGATTTGAATGCACACATCACAAAGAAGTTTCTGAGAATTCCTCTTTCAACATTTATATGAAGAAAACCCGTTTGCAACGAAGGCCCCCAAGAATTCCTAATATTCACTAGCAGAACCTACAAAAAGGGTGTTTCAAATCTACTCTTTCAAAAGAAAGGTTAAACTCTGTGAGTTGAATGCACCCATCAGAAACCAATTTCTCAGAATCATTCTGTCTAATTTTCCTATGAGGATATTTTCTTTTTTTTTTTTTTTTTTTTGAGACGGAGTCTCGCTCTGTCGCCCAGGCTGGAGTGCAGTGGCGGGATCTCGGCTCACTGCAAGCTCCGCCTCCCGGGTTCACGCCATTCTCCTGCCTCAGCCTCCCAAGTAGCTGGGACTACAGGCACCCGCCACTACGCCCGGCTAATTTTTTGTATTTTTAGTAGAGACGGGGTTTCACCGTTTTAGCCGGGATGGTCTCGATCTCCTGACCTCGTGATCCGCCTGCCTCGGCCTCCCAAAGTGCTGGGATTACAGGCGTGAGCCACCGCGCCCGGCCAGGATATTTTCTTTTTAACCATAGGCCTCAAACGGCGATAGATATCCACTTGGAAATTCTACAAAAAGAGAGTTTCAAAACTGCTCTATCGAAAGGAAGGTTCAACTTTGTGAGTTGAAAGCACACATCACAAAGAAGTTTCTGAGAATTCTTCTGTCTAGTTTTATATGAAGAAATCACATTTCAAACGAAGGGCACAAAGAGGTCCAAATATCCACATGCAGATTCTACAATAGGAGTGTTTCAAAACTGCTCTATCAGGAGGAATTGTCAATTCTGTGAGATGAATACAAATATCACAAATTAGTTTCTGACAATGCTTCTGTCAAGTTTTTATGGGAAGATATTTCCTTTTCTACCGTAGACCTCAAAGCACTCTAAATATACAGTTGCAAATTACACACAAAGAGTATTTCAGAACTGCTCTATCAAAAGATAGGTGAAACTCTGTAAGTTGAATGCCACTATCACAAAGTAGTTTCTGACAATGCTTCTGTCTAGTTTTTATGTGAAGATATTTCCTTATCTACCGTAGGCCTGAAAGCGATCTAAATATACACTTGCAAATTCCACAAAAAGAGTGTTTCAAAACTGCTCTATCAAAAGAAAGGTTAAACTCTGTAAGCTGAATGCACACATCACAAAGCAGTTTCTGATAATTTTTCTAAACTCTGTAAGCTGAATGCACACATCACAAAGCAGTTTCTGATAATTTTTCTATCTATCTAGTTTTTTTATGAAGATATTTCCTTTTCTACCACAGGCGACAAACCGCTATAAATATCCACTTGGAAATTCTATAAAAACAGTCTTTCAAAACTGCTCTATCGAAAGGAAGATTCATCCCTTTTAGTTGAACTCACACAACACAATGAACTTTCTGAAAATTCTTATGTCAAGTTTTTTATGAAGAAATCCCGTTTCAAAAGAAGGCCTCAAAATATACAAATATTAATTTGCAGATTCTACAAAAAGAGTGTTTCAAAACTGCTCTATAAAGAAGAATGTTCAACTCTGGGAGTTGAATGCAAATATCAAAATGTAGTTTCTGACAATGCCTCTGTCTAGTTTTATGTGAAGATAATTCCTTTTCTACCATAGGCCTCAAAGCCCTCTCAATATAAACTTGCAAATTCCACAAAAAGAGTGTTCAAAACTGCTCTGTCAAGTGAAAGGTTAAACTCTGTAACCTGAATGCCAACATCACAAATTAGTTTCTGAGAATGATTCTGTCCAATTTTTCTATCCACTTGGAAATTCTACAATAAGAGAGTTTCATAACTGCTCTAAGGATAGGAAGGTTCAACTCTGTGTGTTGGAAGCACACATCAGAAAGAAGTTTCTGAGAATTCTTCTATCAACTTTTATATGAAGAAATCCCGTTTCCAACGAAGGCCACAAAATTCCAAATATTCACTTGCAGATCCTACAAATAGAGTGCTTCAAAACTGCTCTACCAAAAGAAAGGTTAAACTCTTTGAGTTGAACGCACACACCACAAAGTAGTTTCTGAGAATCATTGTGTCTTGTTTCTCAAAGAAGATATTGTCTTTTCTACCATAGGCCTCAAACGGAGTGAAATATCCACTTGGAAATTCTACAAAATGTGAATCTCAAAACTGCTCATTCAAAAGGAAGTTTCAACTCTGTGAGTTGAAAGGACACATCACAAAGAAGTTTCTTAGAATTCTTCTATCGAGTTTTATTTGAAGAAATCACGTTTCAAACGAAGACCCCAAAGAGGTCCAAATATCCACTTGCAGATTCTACAAAAAGAGTGTTTCAAAACTGCTCTATCAAGAGGAATGTTCACCTGTGTGAGTTGAATGCAAATATCACAAAGTAGTTTCTGACATTTCTTCTGTCTAGTTTTTAGGTGAAGATATTTCCTTTTCTACCGTAGGCCTCAAAGCGCTCTAAATATATACTTGCAAATTCCACAAAAAGAGTGCTTCAACACTGCTCTACAAAAGAAAGGGTAATCTCTGTATGCTGAATGAACACACCGCAAAATGTTTTGAGAATGATTCTGTCTAGTTTTTCTATGAAGTTATATCCTTTTCTTCCACAGGCCTCAAACCGCTCTAAATACTCACTTGGAAATTTTACAAAAAGAGTATTTCAAAAGTGCTCTATCGAAACGAAGGTTCAACTCTGTGAGTTAAAAGCACACATCACAAAGAAGATTCTGAGAATTCTCCTGTCACGTTTTATATGAAGAAATCTCGTTTCCAACGAAGGCCCCCAAAACGTCCAAATATTCGTTGCGGATTCTACAAAAAGTGTTTCAAAACTGCTCTATCAAAAGAAAGGTTAAAATCTGTGAGTTGAACTCACACATCACAAAGTAGTTTCTGAGAATCATTCTGTCAAATTTTTCTATGAAGATATTGCCTTTTCTAACATAGGCCTCAAACGGCGGCAAATATCCACTTGGAAATTCTACAAAAAGAGAGTTTCAAAACTGCTCTATCGAAAGGAAGGTTCAACTCTGTGAGTTGAAAGCACACATCACAAAGAAGTTCCTGAGAATTCTTCTGTCTATTTTTATATGAAGAAATCACGTTTCAAATGAAGACCTCAAAGAGGTCCAAATGTCCACTTGCAGATTCTACTAAAAGAGTGTTTCAAAACTGCTCTATCAAGAGGAATGTTCAACTCTGTGAGTTGAATGCAAATATCACAAAGTAGTTTCTGACAATGCTTCTGTCTAGTTTTTATGTGAAGATATATCCTTTTCTGCCGTAGGCCTCAAGGAGCTCTAAATATACACTTGCAAATTCCACAAAAAAAGTTTTTTTCAAAACTGCTCTATCAAAAGAAAGGTTAAACTCCGTAACCCGAATGCACACATCACAAAGTAGTTTCTGAGAATGATTCTGTCTAGATTTTCTATGAAGATATTTCCTTTTCTACCATAGGCCTCAAACCCCTCTAAATATCCACTTGGAAATTCAGCAAAAAGATTATTTCAAACCTGCTCTATCGAAAAAAAGGTTCAACACTGTGAGTTGAATGCAGAAATCCCAAAGAAGTTTCTGAGAATTCTTCTGTCACGTTTTAAATGAAGAAATCTCGTTTCCAACGGAGGCCCCAAAAAAGTCCAAATATTCCATTGCAGATTCTACAAAAAGAGTGTTTCAAAACTGCTCTATCAAAAGAAAAGTTAAACTCTGTGAGTTGAACGCACACATGGCAAAGTAGTTTCTGAGAATCATTCTGTCTAGTTTTTCTATGAAGATATTGCCTTTTCTACCATAGGCCTCAAACAGCACTAAATATCCACTTGGAAATACTACAAAAACAGAGTTTCAAAACTGCTCTATCAAAAGAAAGGTTCAACTCTGTGAGTTGAAAGCACACATCACAAAGTAGTTTCTTAGAATTCTTCTGTGTAGTTTTATACAAAGAAATCACGTTTCTAACGAATGCCACAAAGAGGTCTAAATATCCACTCGCAGATACTACAAAAATAGTGTTTCAAAACTGCTCTATCAAAAGAAAAGTTAAACTCTGTGAGTTGAATGCACTCATCTCAAAGAAGTTTCTGAGAATCCTTCTGTCTAGTTTTTCTATGAAGATATTTTCTGTTCTACCATAGGCCTCAAACCACGCTAAATATCTATCCAATTGGAAATTTTACAAAAAGACAGTTTCAAAATTGCTCTATCGATAGGAAGCTTCAAATCTGTGAGTTGAAAGCACACAATACAAAGAAGTTTCTGATAATTTTTCTGTCTAGTTTTATATGAATAAATCACATTTCAAACGAAGGCCACAAAGAGGTCCAAATATCCACCTGCAGATTCTACAAAAAGGGTGTTTCAAAACTGCTCTATCAAGAGGAATGCTCAACTCTGTGAGTTAAATGCAAATATCACAAAGCAGTTTCTGACAAAGCTTCTGTCTAGTTTCTATGTGAAGATATTTCTTTTTCTACTGTAGGCCTCAAAGCGCCCTAAATGAACAAAAATTCCACAGAAAGAGTGTTTCAAAACTGCTCTATCAAAAGAAAGGTTAAATTCTATAAGCTCAATGCTCACATCAAAAAGCAGTTTCTCACAATGATTCTGTCCAGTTTTTCTAAGAAGATATTTCCTTTTCTACGACAGACCTAAACACCTCTCCAAATATCCACTTGGATATTTTGCAAAAAGAGTATTTCAAAACTTCTCTATAGAAAGGAAGGTTCAACTCTGTGAGTTGAATGCACACATCAGAAAGAAGTTTCTGAGAATTTTTCTGTCAAGTTTTATATGAAGAAATGCAGTTTCAAACGAAGGCCTCAAAAAAGTCAAAAATATTCACTTGCAGATTCGACAAAAAGAGTGTATCAAAACTGCTCTATCAACAGAAAGTTTAAACTCGGTGAGTTGAACCCACATATCACAAATTAGTTTCTGAGCATCATTCGGTCTAGTATTTCTATTAAGATATTTCCTTTATAACATAGGCCTGAAATGGCACTCAATATCCACTTCGAAATCCTACAAAATGTGAGTTTCAAAATCGCTCTATTAAAAGGAAAGTTCAATTCTGTGAGTTGAAAGCACACAGCACAAAGAAGTTTCTGAGAATTATTCTGTCTAGTTTTATATGAAGAAATGACTTTTCAAAAGAAGGCTACAAAGAGGCCCAAATATCCACTTGCAGATTCTACATAAATAGTGTTTCAAAACTGCTCTATCAAGAGGAATGTTCAACTCTGTGAGTTGAAAGCACACATCACAAAGATGTTTCTTAGAATTCTTCTGTGAAGTTTTATACGAAGAAATCATGTTTCTAACGAAAGTGACAAAGAGTTCTAAATATACACTCACAGATACTACAAAAAGGCTGTTTCAAAACAGCTCTATCAAAAGAAAGGTTAAACTCTGTGAGTTGAACGCACTCATCACAAAGTAGTTTCTGAGAATCATTCTGTCTAGTTTTTATTTGAAGATATTTCCTTTTCTACCATAGGCCTCAAACCGCTCTAAATATCCACTTGGAAAATCTACAAAAAGAGTATTTCAAAACTGCTCTAATGAAAGGACGGTTCAGCACTGTGAGTTGAAAGCACACATCACAAATAAGTTTCGGAGAATTCTTCTGTCTAGTTTTATATGAAGAAATCACGTTTCAAACAAAGATCACAGAGAGTTTCAATTATCTACTTGCAGATTCTTCAAAAGAGTTTTTCAAAACTGCTCTATCAAGAGGAAAGTTCAAATCTGTTAGTTGAATGCAAATATCACAAAGTTGTTTCTGACAATACTTCTATCTAGTTTTATGTGAAGATATTTCCTTTTCTATCGTATGCCTCAAAGCACTCTAAATACACACTTGCAAATTCCACAAAAAGATTGCTTCAAAAGTGCTCTATCAAAAAAATATTAAACTCTGTAAGCTGAATTCACACTGCACTAAGTTGTCTCTGAGAGTGATTCTGCCTAGTTTTTTATGAAGTTATTTCCTTTTCTACCAAGGGCCTCAAACCGCTCTAAATATCCACTTGGAAATTCTACGAAAATAATATTTAAAAACTGCTCTATTGCAAGGAAGGTTCAACACTGTGAGTTGAATGCAAACATCACAAAGAAGTTTCTAAGAGTTCTTCTGTCAGGTTTTATATGAAGAAATCCCGTTTCCAAAGAGGGCCTCACAAAAGTCCAAATATTCACTTGCAGATACTACAAAAAGAGTGTTTCAAAAATGCTCTATCAAAAGAAAGGTTAAACCCTGTGAGTTGAACGCTCACATCACAAAATAGTTTCTGAGAATGATTCTGTCTAGTATTCTATGTAGATTGTGCCTTTTCTAACATAGGCCCCAAACGGCGCTAAATATCCACTTAGAAATTCCACAAAAAGATAGTTTCAAAACTGCTCTACGAAAGGAAGGTTGAACACTGTGAATTGAAAGCAAACATCACAAAGAAGTTTCTGAGAATTCTTCTGTCTAGTTTTACATGAAGAAATCACGTTTCAAAAGAAGACCACAAAGAACTCCAAATATCCACTTGCAGATTCTACAAAAAGAGTGTTTCAAAACTGCTCTATCAAGAGGAACGTTCAACTCTGTGAGTTGAATGCAAATATCAAAAAGAAGTTTCTCACAATGCTTCTGTCTAGTTTTTATGTGAAGATATTTCCTTTTCTGCCGTAGGCCTCAAAGCTCTCTAAATATCGAGTTGGAAATACAACAAAAAGGGAATTTCAAAACTGCTCTATGGAAAGGAAGGTTCAATTCTGTGAGTTGAATGCACAAATCAGAAAGAAGTTTCTGAGAATTCTTCTGTAAAGTTTAATATGAAGAAAACCCGTTTCCAACGAAGGCCTCAAAAAAGTCCAAATGTTCTCCTGCAGTTTCTACAAAAAGGGTGCTTCAAAACTGCACTATCAAAAGAAAGGTTAAACTCTGTGAATTGAATGCACACATCACAAAGTAGTTTCTGAAAATCATTCTGTCTAGTTTTTCTATGAAGACTTTGATTTTTCTACCATAGGCCACAAACGGTGCTAAATACCCACTTGGAAAAGCTACAAAAAGACAGTTTCAAAACTGCTCCATCGAAAGGAAGGTTCAAGTCTGTGAGTTCAAAGCATACATCACAAAGAAGTTTCTGAGAATTCTTCTGTCTAGTTTTATATGAAGAAATCACATTTCAAACGAAGACCACAAAGAGGTCGAAATATGCACTCGCAGATTCTACAAAAAGTGTATTTCAAAACTGTCCTATCGAGAGAAATGTTCAACTCTGTGAGTTGAATGCAAATATCACAGAGTACTTCCTGACAATGAATCTGTCTAGTTTTTATGTGAAGATATTTCCTTTTCTACCATAGGCCTCAAAGCGCTCTAAATATACACTTGCAAATTCTACAAAAAGAGTGTTTCAAAACTGCTCTTATCAAAGGTAAGATTAAACTCTGTAAGCTGAATACACACATCACAAAGTAGTTTCTGAGAATGATTCTGTCTAGTTTTTCTATGAAGATATTTCCATCTCTACTAGAGGCCTCAAACCGCTCTAAATATCTACTTGGAAATTCTACAAAAAGATTATTTCAAAACTGCTCTAACGAAAGGAAGCTACATCACTGTGTGTGGAATGCACAGATCACAAAGAAGTTTCTGAGAATTCTTGTGTCAAGTTTCATATGAAGAAATCCCGTTTACAAAGAAGGTCTCAAAAAAGTCCAAATATTCACTAGGAGATCTTACAAGAAGAGTGTTTCACAACTGCTCTATGAAAAGAAAGATTAAACTCCGTGGGTTGATCGCACACATCACAAAGTAGTTTCTGCGAATCATTCTTTCTAATTTTCCTATGAAGATATTTCCTTTTCTACCTTAGGCCAGAAACGGTGCTAAATATCCACTTGGAATTTCTACAAAAAGAGAGTTTTGAAACTGCTCTATCGAAAGGAAAGTTCAACTCTGAGAGTTGAAAGCACATATCACAAAGAAGTTTCTGAGAATCCTTCTGTTTAGTTTTATATGAAGAAATCACGTTTCAAACGAAGCCACAAATGGGTCAAAATATCCACTTGCAGATTTTACAAAAAGAGTGTTTCAAAACTGCTCCATCAAAAGGAATGTTCAACTCTGTGAGTTGAATGAAAATATCACAAAGTAGTCTCTGACAATGCTTCTGTCTAGTTTTTATGTGAAGATATCTCCTTTTCTACCGTAGGTCTCGCAGCACTCTAAATATACACTTGCAAATTCCACAAAAAGAGTGTTTCAAAACTGCTCTATCAAAAGAAAGGTTAAATTCTGTATGCTGAATGCAAACATCACAAAGTAGTTTCTGAGAATGATTCTATCTAGTTTTTCTATTAATATATTTCCTTTTCCACCACAGGCCTCAAACCGCTCTAAATATCCACTTGGAAAATCTACAAAAAGAGTATTTCAAAACTGCTCTATCGAAATGAAGGTACAACTCTGTGAGTTGAATGCACACATCACAAATAGGTTTCTGAGAATTATTCAGTCAAGTTTCATATGAAGAAAACCCGTTTCCAAAAAGGCCTCAAAAAAGTCCAAATATTCACTTGCAGAGTCTACAAAAAGAGGGTTTCAAACCTGGTCTATCGAAAGAAAGTTTAAACTCTGCGAGTTGAACACACACACCACAAAGTAGTTTCTGAGAATTATTCTGTCTGGTTTTTCGATGAAGATATTGCCTTTTCTACCATAGGCCCCACATGGCGCTAAATATCCCCTTGGAAATTCTACAAAAAGAGAGTTTCAAAACTGCTCTATCGAAAGGAAGGTTCAACTCTGCGAGTTGAAAGCGCACATCAAAAAGAAGTTTCTGAGAATTCTTCTGTCTTGTTTTATAAGAAGAAAATACATTTCACACGAAGGCCACGTAGAGATCCAAATATCCACTGGCAGATTCTACAAAAAGAGTGTTCCAAAACTGCTCTATGAAGAGGAATGTTCAACTCTGTGATTTGAATGCAAATATCCCAAACTAGTTTCTGATAATGCTTCTGTGTAATTTTTATGTGAAGTTATTTCCTTTTCTACCATAGGCCTCAAAGCGCTCTAAATATACACTTGCAAATTCCACAAAAAGAGTATTTCAAAACTGCTCTATAAAAAGAAAGGTTAATCACTCTAAGCTGAATGCATACATCACAAAGGAGGTTCTGAGAATGATTCTGTATAGTTTTTCTATGAAGATATTTCCTTTTCTACCACAGGCCACAAACCGCTCTGAATATCCACTTGGAATGTCTACAAAAAGATTATTTCAAAACTGCTCTATCGAAATGAAATTTCAACTCTGGGATCTAAATGCACAAATCACAAGAAAGTTTCTGAGAATTCCTCTCTCAAGTTTTTTATGAAGAAATCCCGTTTCCAACGAAGGCCTCAAAAAAGTCCAAATACTCACTAGCAGATTCTACAAAAAGAGTGTTTCAAAACTACTCTATCAAAAGAAAGGTTAAGATCTTTGAATTGGACGCACACACCACAAAGTCGTTTCTGAGAATCATTCTGTCTGGTTTTTCTATGAAATTATTGTCTTTTCTACCAGAGGCCTCAAACGGTGCTAAATATCCACTTGGAAATTCTACAAAAGGAGAGCTTCAACACTGCAGTATCGAAAGGAAGGTTCAACTCTGTGAGTTGAAAGCACACATCCCAAAGAGGTTTCTGAGAATTCTTCTGTCTAGTTTTATATGAAGAAATCACGTTTCAAAAGATGGACACAAAGAGGTCCAATTATCCACTTACACATTCTACAAAAAGATTGTTTCAAAACTGCCCTATCAAGGGGAATGTTCAGCTCTGTGAGTGAATGCAAATATCACAAAGTAGTTTCTGACAATGCTTCTGTCTAGTTTTTATGTGAAGATATTTCCTTTTCTACCGTAGGCCTCAAAGCGCTCTAAATATACAATTGCAAATTCCACAAAAAGAGGGTTTCAAAACTGCTGTATCAAAATAAATGTTAAACTCTCTGTGTTGAACGCACACACCACAAAGTAGTTTCTGAGAAACATTCTGTCTAGTTTTTCAATGAGGACATTGCTTTTTCTAACTTAGGCGTCAAATGGCGCTAAATATCCACTTGGAAATTCTACAAAAAGAGGGTTTCAAAACTGCTCTATCGAAAGGAATGTTCAATTCTGTGAGTTGAAAGCATACATCACAAAGAAGTTTCTGAGAATTCTTCTGTCTAGTTTTATGTGAAGAAATCGTGTTTCAAACGAAGGCCACAAAGAGGTCCAAATACCCACTTGCAGATTCTACTAAAAGAGTGTTTCAAAACTGCTCTATCAAGAGGAATGTTCAACTCTGTGAGTTGAATGCAAATATCACAAATTAGTTTCTAACAATGCTTCTGTCTAGTTTTTATGTGAAGATATTTCCTTTTCTACTGTGGGCCTCAAAGCGCTCTAAATATACACTTGCAGATTCCGCAAAAAGTGTGTTTTAAAACTGCCCTATCAAAAGAAAGGTTGAACTCTGTAAGCTGAGAGTTCACACATCAGGAAGTACTTTCTGAGAATGATTCTCTCTAGTTTTTCTATGAAGATATTTCCTTTTCTACCACAGTCCTCAAACCGCTGTAAATATCCACTTGGAAACCCGACAAAAAGAGTATTTCAAACTGCTCTACCGAAAGGAACGTTCAACCCCGTGAGTTGAATGCACACATCACAAATAAGTTTCTGAGAATTCTTCTGTCAAGTTTTATATGAAGAAATCCCGTTTAAAAAGAAGGCCTCAAAACAGTCCAAATATTCCCTTGCAGATTCTGCAAAAAGAGTGTTTCTAAACTGATCTATCAAAAGAAATGTTAAAATCTGTGAGTTGAACGCACACACCACAAAGTAGTTTCTGAGAATCATTCTATTTAGTTGTTCTAGGAAATTATTGCCTTTTCTACCATAGGCCGCAAACGACGTTAATATCCTCTTGGAAATACCTCAAAAAGAGAGTTTAAAAATTGCTGCATCGAAAGGAAGGTTCAACTCTGTGAGTTGAAAGTACACATCTCAAAGAAGTTTCTGAGAATTCTTCTGTCTAGTTTTATATGAAGAAATCACGTTTCAAACGATGGCCACAAAGAGATCCAATCATCCACTGGGAGATTCTACCAACATTACATAATGGTAAAGGGATCAATTCAACAAGAAGAGCTAACTATCCTAAATATATATGCACCCTATGCAGGAGCACCCAGATTCATAAAGCAAGTCCTGAGTGACCTACAAAGAGACTTAGACTCCCACACATTAATAATGGGAGACTTTAACACCCCACTGTCAACATTAGACAGATCAACGAGAGAGAAAGTCAACAAGGATACCCAGGAATTGAACTCAGCTCTGCACCAAGCGGACCTAACAGACATCTACAGAACTCTCCACACCAAATCAACAGAATATACATTTTTTTCAGCACCACACCACACCTATTCCAAAATTGACCACATAGTTGGAAGTAAAGCTCTCCTCAGCAAATATAAAAGAACAGAGATTATAACAAACTATCTCTCAGACCACAGTGCAATCAAACTAGTACTCATGGTTAAGAATCTCACTCAAAACCGCTCAACTACATGGAAACTGAACAACCTGCTCCTGAATGACTACTGGATACATAACAAAATGAAGGCAGAAATAAAGATGTTCTTTGAAACCAACGAGAACAAAGACACAACATACCAGAATCTCTGGGACGCATCCACAGCAGTGTGTAAAGGGAAATTTATAGCACTAAATGCCCACAAGAGAAAGCAGGAAAGATCCAAAATTGACACCCTAACATCACAATTAAAAGAACTAGAAAAGCAAGAGCAAACACATTCAAAAGCTAGCAGAAGGCAAGAAATAACTAAAATCAGAGCAGAACTGAAGGAAATAGAGACACAAAAAACCCTTCAAAAATTAATGTATCCAGGAGCTGGTTTTTTGAAAGGATCAACAAAATTGATAGACCGCTAGCAAGACTAATAAAGAAAAAAAGAGAGAAGAATCAAATAGACACAATTAAAAAATTGTAAAGGGGATATCACCACCGATCCCACAGAAATACAAACTACCATCAGAGAATACTACAAACACCTCTACGCAAATAAACTAGAAAATCTAGAAGAAATGGATAAATTCCTTGACACATACACTCTCCCAAGACTAAACCAGGAAGAAGTTGAATCTCTTAATAGACCAATAACAGGAGCTGAAATTGTGGCAATAATCAATAGCTTACCAACCAAAAAGAGTCCAGGACCAGAAGGATTCACAGTCGAATTCTATCAGAGGTACAAGGAGGACCTGGTACCATTCCTTCTGAAACTATTCCAATCAATAGAAAAAGAGGGAATCCTCCCTAACTCATTTTATGAGGCCAGCATCATTCTGATACCAAAGCCGGGCAGAGACGCAACAAAAAAAGAGAATTTTAGACCAATATCCTTGATGAACATTGATGCAAAAATCCTCAATAAAATACTGGCAAAACAAATCCAGCAGCACATCAAAAAGCTTATCCACCATGATCAAGTGGGCTTCATCCCTGGGATGCAAGGCTGGTTCAATATATGCAAATCAATAAATGTAATCCAGCATATAAACAGAGCCAGAGACAAAAAACACATGATTATCTCAATAGATGCAGAAAAAGCCTTTGACAAAATTCAACAACGCTTCATGCTAAAAACTCTCAAGAAATTAGGTATTGATGGGACGTAATTCAAAATCATAAGAGCTATCTATGACAAACCCACAGCCAATATCATACTGAATGGGCAAAAACTGGAAGCATTCCCTTTGAAAACTGGCACAAGACAGGGATGTCCTCTCTCACCACTCCTATTCAACATAGTGTTAGAAGTTCTGGCCAGGCAATTAGGCAGGAGAAGGAAATAAAAGGTATTCAATTAGGAAAAGAGGAAGTCAAATTGTCGCTGTTTGCAGACGACATGATTGTAAATCTAGAAAACCCCATTGTCTCAGCCCAAAATCTCCTTAAGCTGATAAGCAACTTCAGCAAAGTCACAGGATACAAAATCAATGTACAAAAATCACAAGCATTCTTATACACCAATAACAGACAAACAGAGAGCCAAATCATGAGTGAACTCCCATTCACAATTGCTTCAAAGAGAATAAAATACCTAGGAATCCAACTTAAAAGGGATGTGAAGGATCTCTTCAAGGAGAACTACAAACCACTGCTCAAGGAAATAAAAGAAGATACAAACAAATGAAGAACATTCCATGCTCATGGGTAGGAAGAATCAATATCGTGAAAATGGCCATACTGCCCAAGGTAATTTACAGATTCAATGCCATCCCCATCAAGCTACCAATGACTTTTTTCACAGAATTGGAAAAAACAACTTTAAAGTTCATATGGAACCAAAAAAGAGCCCGCATCGCCAAGGCAATCCTAAACCAAAAGACTGTTTCATAACTGCCCTATCAATGGGAATGTTTAGCTTTTGAGTGAATGCAAATATCACAAAGTATTTTCTGACAATGTTTCTCTCTAGTTTTTATGTGAAGGTATTTCCTTTTCTGCCTTAGGCCTCAAAGCGCTCTAAATATACACTTGCAAATTCCACAAAAAGAGAGTTTCAAAACTGCTCTATCAAAAGAAAGGTTAAAGTCTGTGAGTTGAACGCACACACCACAAAGTAGTTTCTGAGAATTCTTCTGTCTCATTTTATATGAAAAAATGACGTTTCAAAAGAAGGCCACAAAGAGTTACAAATATCCACTTGCAGATTCTACAAAAAGAGTGTTTCAAAACTGCTCTATCACGAGGAATGTTCAACTCTGTTAGTTGAATGCAAATATCGCAAAGTAGTTTCTGACAATACTTCTGTCTAGTTTTTACATGAAGACATTTCCTTTTCTACCGTATGCCTCATAGCGCTCTAAATATACACTCGGAAATTCCACAAAAAGAATGTTTCAAAACTGGTCCACGAAAAGAAAGGTTGAACTCTGTAAGCTGAATGCACACATCACAAAGAAATTTCTGAGAATGATTCTGTCTAGAGTTTCTTTGAAGATATTTCCTTTTCTACTATGGGCCTCAAAACGCTCTAAATATACACTAGGAAATTCTAAAAAAAGAGTATTTAAAAACTGCTCTATCGAAGGGAAGGTTCAAACCTGTGTGTTCAATGCACATATTACAAAGATGTTTCTGAGAATTCTTCTGTCAAATTTTATATGAAGAAATCCCGCATCCAAAGAAGGCCTCAAGAAAGTCCAAATATTCACTTGCAGATTCTACAAACAGAGTGTTTCAAAACTGTTCTATCAAAAGAAAATTTAAATTCAGTGAGTTGAACGCACAAATCACAAAGTAGTTTCTGAGAATGATTCTGTTTAGTTTTTCTATGAAGATATTTCCTTATTTACCTTAGGCCTCAAACTGCTCTAAATATCAACTTGGAAATACTGCAATAAGAGAGTTTCAAAACTGCTCTATCGAAAGGAAGGTTCAACACTGAGAGTTGAAAGCACACTTCAGAAATAAGTTTCTGAGAAATCTTCTGTCTAGTTTTAAATGAAGAAATCACGTTTCAAAAAAAGGTCACAAAGAGGTCCAAATATCCACCAGCAGATTCTACAAAAAGAGTGTTTCAAAACTGGTCTATCAAGAGGAATGTTCAACTCTGTGTGTTGAATGCAAATATCACAAAATAGTTTATGACAATGCTTCTGTCTAATATTTAGGTGAAGATATTTCCTTTTCTACCATAGGCTTCAAAGCGCTCTAAATGTACATTTGCAAATTCCACAAAATAGTGTTTCACAACTGCTCTATCAAAAGGAAGGTTAACAGCTGCAAGCTTAATGCACACATTACAAAGTAGTTTCTGAGAATGATTCTGTCTAGCTTTTCTATGAAGATATTTCCTTTTCTACCAGAGGCCTCAAACTGCTCTAAATATCCACTTGGAAATTCTAAAAAAAGAGTATTTCAAAAGTGCTCTATCGAAAGGAAGTTTCAACTCTGTGAGTTGAATGCACACATCACAATGAAGTTTCTGAGAATTCTTCTGTCCAGTTTTATTTCAAGGAATTCCGTTTCCAATGAAGACCTCGAAAAGTCCAAATATTCACTTGCAGATTCTACAAATTGTGTGTTTCAAAACTGCTCTATCAAAAGAAAGATAAAACTCTGTGAGTTGAACGCACATATCACAATGTAGTTTCAGAGAATCATTCTGTCTAGTTTTTCTATGAAGATATTTCCTTTTCTACAATTGGCCTCAAACGGTGGTAAATATCCACTAGGAAATTCTACAAAAATAGAGGAGTTTCAGAACTGCTCTATCGAAAGAAAAATACAACTCTGTGAGTTGAAAGCACACATCACAAAGAATTTCTGAGAATTCTTCTTTCTAGTTTTATATGAAGAAATCACTTTTCAAACGAAGGCCACAATGAGGTCGAAATATCCACTTGCAGGTTCTACAAAAAAAGTTTTTCAAAACTGCTCTATGAAGAGCAATGTTAAACACTGTGAGTTGAAAGCAACTATCGCAAATTAGTTTCTGACAATGCTTCTGTCTAGTTTTTATTTGAAGTTATTTCTTTTCTACCTTAGGCTTCAAAGCGCTCTAAATAGACACTTGCAAATACCACAAAAATAGTGTTTCAAAACTGCTCTATCAAAGGAAAGTTTAAACACTGTAAGCTGAATGCACCCATCACAAAGTAGTTTCTGAGAATGATTCTGTCTAGTTTTTATATGAAGATATTTTCTTTTCAATCATTGGCCTCAAATCGCACTAAATATCCACTTGGAAATTCTACAAAAAGATTATTTCAAAACTGCTGTATCGAAAGGAATGTTCAACTCTGTCTGTTGAATGCACACATCACTAAGAAGTTTCGGAGAATTCTTCTGACAAGTCTTATATGAAGAAATCCCGTTGCCAAATAAGGCCTCAGAAAAATCCAAATATTCATTTGCAGATTCTACACAAAGAGTCTTTCAAAACTGCTCTATCAAAAGAAAGGTTAAACTCTGTGAATTGAATGCACACATCACAAAGTAGTTTCTGAGAATCATTCTGTCTAGTTTTTCCATGAAGATACGGCCTTTACTACATAGGCTTCAAACGGTGCTAAATATCCACTTGGAAATTCTACAAAAACAGAGTTTCGTAACTGCTCTATCGAAAAGAAGTTTCAACTCTGTGAGTTGAAAGCACACATCACAATGGAGTTTCTGATAATTCTTCTGTCAAGTTTTATATGAAGAAACCCCGTTTTCAATAGTGGCCTCTAAAAAGTCCAAATATTCACTTGCAGGTTCTACAAAAAGAGTGTTTCAAAACTGCTCTATCAAAAGAAAGGTTAAACTCTGTGAGTTGAATGCACACATCACAAAATAGTTTCTGAGACTCTTTCTGTCTAATTTTTCTATGAAGATATGTTCTTTTATACCATAGGCCTCAAACGGTGCTAAATATACACCTGGAAATTCTACAAAAAGAGAGTTTCAAAACTTCTCTATCAAAAGAAATGTTCAGCTCTGTGAGTTGAATGCAGATATCACAAAGTAGTTTCTGACAATGCTTCTGTCTAGTTTTATTGTGAAGATATTTCCTTTTCTACCGTAGCCCTCAAAGCGCTCTAAATATACACTTGCAAATTCCCCAAAAAGAGTGTTACAAAACTGCTCTATCAAAGGAAAGGTTAAACTCTGTAAGCTTCATGCACACATCAGGAAGTAGTTTTTTCAGAATGATTTTGTACAGGTTTTCTATCAAGATATTTCCTTTTCTACCATATGCCTCAAACGGTGCTAAACATCAACTTGGAAATTCTACAAAAAGAGTATTTCAAAACTGCTCTATTGAAAGGAAGGTTCAACTCTGAGAGTTGAATGGACACATCACAAAGAATTTTCTGAGAATTCTTCTGTCTAGTTCTATATGAAGAAATCACTTTTCAAAGGAAGGCAAAAAAGAGGTCCAAATATCCACATGCAGATTCTACAAAAAGAGTGTTTCAAAACTGCTCTATCAAGAGGAACGTTCAACTGTGTGAGTTGCATGGAAATATCACAAAGTAGTTTATGACAATGCTTCTGTCTTGTTTTTATGTGAAGATATTTCCTTTTCTACTGTAGGCCTCAAAGCCATCTAAATATACACTTCCAAATTCCACAAAAAGAGGGTTTCAAAACTGCTGTATCAAAAAAAAGGTTAAATTGTATAAGCTGAATGCACACATCACAAAGTAGTTTCTGAGAATGATTCTGCCTAATTTTTCTATGAAGATATTTTCTTTTCTACCATAGGCCTCAAACCGCTCTAAATAACCACTTGGAAATTCTGCAAAAAGAGAATTTCAAAACTTCTCTATCCAAAGGAAGGTTCAACTCTGTGACTTGAATGCACACATCACAAAGAAGTTAACGAGAATTCTTCTGTCAAGTTTTGTATGAATAAAACCCGTTTCCAACGAAGGCCTGAAATAAGTCGAAATATTCCCTTGCAGATTCTACAAAAAGAGTTTTTCTAAACTGCTCTATCAAAAGAAAGGTTAAACTCTGTGAGTTGAACGCACACACCACAAAGTAGTTTCTGAGAATGATTGTGTCTAGCTTTTCTATGAAATTATTGCCTTTTCTACAATAGGCCTCAAACGGCAATAAATATCCACTTGGAAATTCTACAAAATGAGAGTTTCAAAACTGCTCTATCGAAAGGAAGGATCAACTCTATGAGTTGAAAGCACACATCACAAAGAAGTTTCTGAGAATTCTTCTGTCTAGTTTTATTTGAAGAAATCACTTTTCAAGCGAAGGCCACAAAGAGGTCGAAATATCCACTTGCAGTTTCTACAAAAAGAGTGTTTCAGAACTGCTCTGTCAAGAGGAATATTCAACTCTGTGAGTTGATTGCAAATACTACAAAGTAGTTTCTGACAATGCTTCTGTCTAGTTTTTATTTGAAGAAATTTCCTTTTCAAAAGTAGGCTTCAAAGCGCTCTAAATATACACTTACAAATACCACAAAAAGAATGTTTCAAAACTGCTCAATGAAAAGAAAGATTAAACTCTGTTATCTGAATGCACACATCACAAAGAAGTATCTGAGAATGATTCTGTCTAGTTTTTCTAAGAAGATATTTCCTTTTCTACCACAGGCCTCAAGCCGCTCTAAATATTCACTTGGAAATACTTCAAGAAGATTATTTCAAAACTGCTCTATCGAAATGAAGGTTCAACTCTGTGAGTTGAAAGCACACATCACAAAGAAGTTTATCAGAATTGTTTTGTGTAGTTTTATACGAAGAAATCACGTTTCTAAAGAAGACCACAAAGAGGTCCAAATATACACTCGCAGATTCTACAAAAAGAATGTTTCAAAACTGCTCTATCAAGAGGAATATTCAACTCTGTGAGTTGAGTGCAAATATCACAAAGCAGTTTCTTACAGTGCTTCTGTCTGGTTTTTATGGGAAGATATTTCCTTTTCTACAATAGTTCTCAAAGAGCTCCAAATATACACTTGCAAATTCCACAGAAAGAGTGTTTCAATACTGCTCTATCAAAAGAAAATTTAAACTCTGTAAGTTGAATGCCCAAATCACAAAGAAGTTTCTGAGAATGATTCTGTCTAGTTTTCCTGTGAAGATATTTCTTTTTCTACCAGAGACCTCAAACCACTCTAAATAACCACTTGGAAAAACTACAAAAAAAATAGTATTTCAAAACTGCTCTATCGAAAGGAAGGTTCAAACCTGTGAGTTGAATGCACACATCACTAGAAGTTTCTGAGAATTCTTCTGTCACGTTTTATACGAAGAAATCCCGTATCCAGAGAAGGCCTTAAAATAACCGAAATATTCATTTGCAGATTCTACAAAAAGTGGGTTTCAAATCTGCTCTATCAAAAGAAAGTTTGAACCATGGGAGTTGAACGCACACATCACAAAGTAGCTGCTGACAATCATTCTGTATAGTTTTTCTATGAAGATATTTCCTTTTCTACAACAGGCCTCAAACGGCGCTAAATATCCACTTGGAAATTCTACAGAAAGAGAGATTCAAAACTGCTCTATCGAAAGATAGATTCAAATCTGTGAGTTGAAAGCACACATCACAAAGAAGTTTCTGAGAATTATTCTGTCTAGTTTCATATGTAGAAATCACGTTTCAAACGAAGGCCACAAGGAAGTCTAAATATCCACTTACAGATTCTACAAAAAGAGTGTTTTAAACTGCTCTATAAAGAGGAATGTTCAACCCTGTGAGTTGAATGCAAATATCACAACGCAGTTTCTGACAATGATTCTGTCTATTTTTTCTGTGAAGATATTTCCTTTTCTACCATAGGCATCAAAGCGCTGTAAATATACATTTGCAAATACTACAAAAAGATTGTTTCAAAACTGCTCTATATAAAGAAAGGTTAAACCCTGTAAGCTGAATGCCCACATCACAAAGTAGTTTCTGAGAATGATTTTGTCTAGTTTTTCTATGAACATATTTCGTTTTCTACCACAGGCCCCAAAACGAACTAAATATCCATTTGGAAATTCTACAAAAGGAGGATTTCAACAATGCTCTATCGAGAGGAAGGTTCAACGCTGTGAGTTGAAAGCACACGTCACAGAATAGTTTCTGAGGATTCTTCTGTCAGGTTTTATGTAAAGAAATCCCTTTTCCAAAGAAGGCCTAAAAATGTCCAAATATTCACTTGCAGATTCCACAAAAAGAGTGTCTCAAAACTGCTGTATCGAAAGGAAGGTTCAACTCTGAGTTGAATGCACACATCACAAATAAGTTTCTTAGAATTCTTCTGTCAAGTTTTATATGAAGAATTCCCGTTTCCGAAAAGGCCTCGTAAAAGTCCAAATATTCAGTTGCAGATCCTGCAAAAAGAGTGTTTCAAAACTGCTCTGTCAAAAGAAAGGTTAAACTCTGTGAGTTGAAAGCACACATCACAAAGTAGTTTCTGAGAATCATTCTGTCTAGTTTTCCTATGAAGATATTTCCTTTTCTAACAGAGGCCTCAAATGGCGCTAAATATCCACATGGAAATTGTACAAAAAAAGACTTCCAAAACTGCTCTATCGAAAGGAAGCTTCAACTATGTGAGTTGAAAGCACACATCACAAAGAAGTTTCTGAGAATTCTTCAGTTTAGATTTATAAAATGAAATCACGTTTCAAAAAAAGGCCACAAAGAAGTCCAAATATCCACTTGCAGATTCTACAAAAAGAGGGTTTCAAAACTGCTCTATCAGGAGGAATGTTCAACTCTGTGAGTTGAATGCAAATATTACAAAGTAGTTTCTGACAATGCTTCTGTCTAGTTATTATTTGAAGATATTTGCTTTTCTACCGTAGTCTTCAAATCGCTCTAAATATACACTTGCAAATTCCACAAAAAGAGTGTTTCAAAACTGCTCTATCAAATGAAAGGTTAAACTCTGTAAGATGAATGCACTCTTGCAAAGTACTTTCTGAGAATGATTCTGTCTAGTTTTTCTATGCAGATATTTCCTTTTCTACCACAGGCCTCAAACCGCTCTACATAACCACTTTTAATTTCTACAAAAATAGTATTTCAAAACTGCTATATCGAAAGGAAGGTTCAAATCTGTAAGCTGAAATCACACATCACAAAGTAGTTTCTGAGAATTATTCTGTCTAGTTTTATATGATGACATTACGTTTCAAAGAAAGGCCACAAAGAGGTACAAATATACAATTGCAGATTCTACAAAAAGTGTGTTTCAAAACTGCTCTATCAAGAGGAATGTTCAACTCTGTGAGTTGAATGCAAATATCACAAAGTAGTTTCTGACAATGCTTCTGTCTACTTTTTATATGAAGATATTTCCTTTTCTACCGTAGTCCTCAAAGCGCTCTAAATATACCCTTGCAAATTCCACAAAAAGAGTGTTTCCCAACTGCTCTATCAAAAGAAAGGTTAAACTCGGTAAGCTGAATGCACACATAACAAAGTAGTTTCTGAGAATGATTTTGTCTAGTTTTTCTATGAGGACATTTCCTTTTCTAAAAGAGACCTCAAACCGCTCTAAATATCCACCTGGAAATTCTACAAAAAGAGTTTTTCAAAACTGCTGTATCGAAAGGAAGGTTCAACACTGCTAGTCGAATGCACACATCACAAAGAAGTTTCTGAGAATTCTGTCAAGTTTGATATGAAGAAATCCCTTTCCCAATGAAAGCCTGAAAAAAGTCCAAATATTCACTTGCAGATTCTACAAAAAGTGTGTTTCAAAACTGCTCTGTCAAAAGGAAGGTTAAACTCTGAGAGTTGAACGCACAGATCACAAAGTAGTTTCTGAGAATATTTCTGTTTAGTTTTCCTATGAGGATAATGCCTTTTCTACCAAAGGCCTCAAACGGCGTTAAATATCCACTTGGATATTCTACAAAAGACAGTTTCAAAACTGCTCTATCGAAAGGAAGGTTCAACTCTGTGATTTGAAAGCACACACCACAAGGAATTTTCTGAGAATTCTTCTGTCTAGTTTCATATGAAGAAATCACGTTTCAAAGGAAGGCCACAAAGAGGTCAAAATATCCACTTGCAGATTCTACAAAAAGAGGGTTTCAAAACTGCTCTATCAGGAGGAATGTTCAACTCTGTGAGTTGAATGCAAATATCACAAAGTTGTTTCTGACAGTGCTTCTGTCTAGTTTTTATGTGACGATATTTCCTTTCTAACACAGGCATCAAAGCGCTATAAATTATACACTTGCAAATTCCACAAAAAGAGTGTTTCAAAACTGCTCTATCAAAACAAAGTTTAAATCCTTTTAGCAGAATGCACACATCACAAAGTAGTTTCTGAGAAGGATTCTGTCTAGTTTTTATATGAAGATATTTCCTTTTCTGCCATAGGCCTCAAATCGCTCTAAATATCCACTTGGAAATTCTACAGAAAATTATTTCAAAACTGCTCTATTGAAAGGAAGGTACAACTTTGTGAGTTGAATGCACACATCAAAAATAAGATTCTGAGAATCCTTCTGCGAAGTTTTATATGAAGAAATCCCTCTTCCAACGAAGGCCTCAAAAAAATCCGTATATTCACTTGCAGATTCTTCAAAAAGAGTGTTTCAAAACTCTATCAAAAGAAAGGTTAAACTCTGTGAGTTGAACGCACACATAACAAAGTAGTTTCTGAGAATCATTCTGTCTAGGTTTTCTATGAAGAAATTGCCTTTTCTACTGTAGGCCTCGCACGGCCCAAAATATCTACTTGGAAATTCTACAAAACGAGAGTTCAAAACTCCTAAATCCAAAGGAAGGTTCAACTCTGTGAGTTGAAAGCACACATCACAAAGAAATTTCTGAGAATTCCTCTGTCTAGTTTTAAATGAAGCAAACACGTTTCAAACGAAGCAATCACGTTTCAAACGAAGGGCACAAAGCGGTGCAAATATCCACTTGCAGATTCTACAAAAAGAGTGTTTCCAAACTGCTCTGTCAAGAGGAATGTTCAACTCTGTGAGTTGAATGCAAACATCACGAAGTAGTTTCTGACAATGCTTTTGTCTTGTTTTTATGTGAAGATATTTCCTTTTCCAACGGAGGCCTCAAAGCGCTCTAAATATACACTTGCAAATTCCACAAAAAGAGTGTTTCCAAACTGCTCTAACCAAAGAAATGTTAATCTCCGTAAGTTGCATGCAAACATACCAAATTAGTTTCTGAGAATGATTCTATCTAGGTTTTTTATGAAGATATATCCTTTTCTACAACAAGCCTCAAACCGCACTAAATATCCACTTCGAAATCCTACAAAAAGACTATTTCTAAACAGCACTATCAAAAGGAAGTTGAACTCTGTGACTTGAATGCACACATTACAAAGAAGTTTCTGAGAGTTCTTCGGTCAGGTTTTATATGAAGAAATCCCGTTTCCAATGAAGGCCTCAAAAAAGTCCAAATATTCACTTACAGATTCTACAAAAAGGTGTTTCAAAACTGCTCTATCTAAAGGAAGTTTAAACTCTGTGAGTTGAAGGCACACATCAAAAAGCAGTTTCTGAGAATCATTCTGTCTAGTTTTTCTATGAGGATATTACCTTTTCTACCAGAGTCCTCAAATGACGTTAAATATCCACTTGGAAATCCTACAAAAAGAGAGTTTCAAAACTGCTCTATCGAAAGTAATTTTCAATCTGAGAGTTGAAAGCACAAATCACAAGAAGTTTTTGAGAATTCCTCTCTCTAGTTTTGTGTGAAGAAATCATGTTTCAAACGAAGGCCACAAAGAGGTTCAAATATCCACTTGCAGATTCTGCAAAAAGAGTGTTTCAAAACTGCTCTATCAAGAGGAATGTTAAACTCTGTGGGTTGAATGCAAATATCTCAAAGTAGTTTCTGACAATGCTTCCGTCTTGTTTTTTTGTGAACATATTTCCTTTTCTACCGTAGGCCTCAAAGCACTCACAATATACACTTGGAAATTCCACAAAAAGTGAGTTTCCAAACTGCTCTATCAAAGAATGTTTAATCTATGTAAGCTGAATGCACACAACAAAAAGTACTTTCTGAGAATGATTCTGAATAATTTTTCAGTGAAGATATTTCCTTTTCTACCATAGGCCTCAAACCGCTCTAAATATCCGCTTGGAAATACAATAAAAAGAGTATTTCAAAACTGCTCTATGGAAAGGAAGGTTCAACTCTGTGAGGTGAATGCACACATCACAAAGAAGCTTCTGAGAGTTCCTCTGTCAAGTTTTATAGGAAGAAATCCCATTTCCAACGAAGGCCTCAAACAACTCCAAATATTCACTTGCAGATTCAACAAAAAGATTGTTTCAAAACCTCTCTATCGAATGAAAGGTTAAACTCTGTGAGTTGAACGCACACATCACAACGTAGTTTCTGAGAATCATTTTGTCTAGTTTTTCTATGAAGATATTGCCTTTTCTACCACAGGCCCCAAACAGCGCTAAATATCCACTTGGAAATACTACAAAAAGAGAGTTTCAAAACTCCTCTATCGAAAGGAAGGTACAACTCTGTGAGTTGAAAGCACACATCTCAAAGAAGATTTTGAAAATTCTTCTGTCTAGTTTTATATGAAGAAATCACTTTTCAAACGAAGGACACAAAGAGGTGCAAATATCGAATCGCAGATTGTACAAAAAGAGTGTTTCAAAACTGCTCTATCAAGAGGAATGTTCAACTCTGTGAGTTGAATACAAATATCAAAAATTAGTTTCTGATAATGCTTCTATCTAGTTTTTATGTGAAGATAATTCCTTTTCTACCGTAGGCCTCAAAGCACTCTAAATATACATTTCCAAATTCCACAAAAAGAGTTTTTCAAAACTGCTGTATAAAAAGAAAGGTTAAACTATATAAGCTGAATGCACACATCAAAAACTAGTTTCTGAGAATGATTCTCTCTAGTTTTTCTATGAAGATATTACCTTTTCTGCCACAGGCCTCAAACCGCTCTAAATATCATCTACTTGGAAATTCTGCAAAAAGAGTATTTCAAAACTGGTCTATCGAAAGGAAGGTACAACTCTGTGAGGTGAATTCACACTTCACAAAAAGTTTCTGAGATTTCTTCTGTTAACATTTATATGAAGAAATCCCTTTTCCAAAGAAGGCCTCAAAAAATCCAAATATTCCATTACAGATTCTACAAAAAGAGTGTTTCAAAACTGCTCTATCAAAAGAAAGGTTAAACTCTGTGAGGTGAACACACACACCACAAAGTAGTTTCTGAGAATCATTCTGTCTAGTTTTTCTATGAAGATATTTCCTTTTCCACCATAGTCCTCAAACGGCACTAAATATCTACTTGGAAATTCTACAAAATGAATTTCAAAACTGTTCTATCGAAAGGAAGGTTCAACTCTGTGAGTTGAAAGCACACATCACAAAGATGTTTCTGAGAATTCTTCTCTTTAGTTGTATATGAAGAAATCACGTATCAAAGGAATGCTACAAAGAGGACCAAATATCCACCTCCAGATTCTACTAAAAAAGTGTTTCAAAACTGCTCTATCAAGAGGAATGATCAACTTTGTGAGTTGAAGGCAAATATCACGAAGTAGTTTCCGACAATGCTTCTGTCTATTTTTTATGTGAAGATATTTCCTTTTCTACCGTAGACCTCAAAGCGCTCTAAATATACACTTGCAAATTCCCCAAAAAGAATGTTTCAAAACTGCTCTATCAAAAGGAACGTTAAACTATGTAAGCTGCATGCACACATCACAAAGTAGTTTCGGAGAATGATACTGTCTAGTTTTTCTCTGAATATATTTTATTTCCTACCATAGGCCTCAAACCGCTCTAAATATCCACTTGGAAATCCTACAAATAGAGTATTTAAGAACTGCTCTATCTAAAGGAAGGTTCAATACAGTGAGTTGAAAGCACACATCACAAAGAAGTTTCTGAGAATTCTTCTGTCAAGTTTTAGATGAAAAAATCCCTTTTCCAAAGAAGGCCTCTAAAAAGTCCAAATATTCACTTGCAGATTCTACAAAAATAGTGCTTCAAAGTTGCTCTATCAAAAGAAATGTTAAACTCTGTGAGTAGAATGCACACATCACAAAGTAGTTTCTGAGAATCTTTCTGTCTTGTTTTTCTATGAAGATAGTGCCTTTTCTACCATAGGCCTCAAACGGCCCTAAATATTCACTTGTTAATTCTACAAAAAGAGAGTTTCAAAACTGCTGTATCGAAAGGACGGTTCAACTTTGTGAGTTGAAAGCACACATCACAAAGAATTTTCTGAGAATTCTTCTGTCATATTTTATATGAAGAAATCCTGTTTCCAACAATGACCTCATAAAAGTCCGGATATTCACTTGTAGTTTCTACAAAAAAAGTGGTTCAAAACTGCTCTATCAAAAGAAAGATTAAACTCTGTGAGTAGAACGCAAACATCACAAATTAGTTTCTGAGAATCATTCTGTCTAGTCATTCTATGAAGATATTTCCTTTTCTACCACAGGCCTAAAACGGTGCTAATTATGGACTTGGAAATTCCACAAAAAGAGTGTTTCAAAACTGCTCTATCAAAAGAAAGGTTAAACTCTGTAAGCTGAATGCACACATCACAAAGGAGTTTCTGAGAATGATTTTGTGTAGTTTTTCTATGAAGATATTTCCTTTTGTACCATAGGCCCCAAACCGCCCATAATATCCACTTGGAAATACTACAAAGAGTATTTCAAATCTGCTCTAACGAAAGGACGGTTCAACACTGTGAGTTGAATGCACACATCAGAAAGAAGTTTCTGAGAATTCTTCTGTCAAGTTTTATATGGAGAAATCCCGTTTCCAACGAAGGGCTCTAAAAAGTCCAAATATTCATTGCAGATTCTACAAAATGAGTGTTTCAATATTCCTCTATGAAAAGCAAAGTTAAACACTCTCTGTTGAATACACACATCACAGAGTAGTTTCTGAGAATCATTCTGACTGGTTTTTCTATGAAGATATTTCCTTTTCTACCATAGGCCTCAAACCGTGCTAAATATCCACTTGGAAATTCAACAAAATGAGTGTCTCAAAACTGCTCTATCAAGACTAATTTTCAACTCTGTGAGTTGAATGCCAATATCACAAACTAGTTTCTGACAAAGCTTCCGTCTCGTTTTTATGTGAAGATATTTCAGTTTCTACAGAAGCCTTCAAAGCGCTCTAAATATACACTTGCAAATTCCACAAAGAGATTGTTTCAAAACTGCTCTATCAAAAGAAAAGTTAAATTCTGTAAGCTGAATGTACACATCACAAAGTAGTTTCTAAGAATGATTCTGTCTAGTTTTCCTATGAGATATTTCCTTTTGTACGACAGGCCTCAAACTGCTCTAAATATCCACTTGGAAATTCTACAAAAGGAGTATATCAAAACTGCTCTACCGAAAGGAAGGTTCAACTCTGTGAGATGAATGCACACATCACAAAGTAGTGTATGGAATTCTTCTGTCAAGTTTTATATGAAGAACTCCCGTTTCCAACGAAGGCCTCAAGAAGTCCAAATATTCACTTGCCGATTCTACAAAAAGAGTGTTTCAAAACTGCTCAATCAAAAGAAAGGTTTAACTCTGTGAGTTGAACGCACACATCACAAAGTAGTTTCTGAGAAGCATTATGTCTAATTTTTCTACGAAGATATGGCCTTTTCGACAATAGGCCTTAAACGGCGCTAAATATCCACTTGGAAATTCTGAAAAATGAGAGTCTCAAAACTGTTCTATCGAAAGGAATTTTCAACTCTGTGAGTTGAAAACCCACTTCACAAAGAAGATTCTGAGAATTCTTCTGTCTAGTTTTATATAAAGAAATCATGATTCAAAGGAAGGCCACAAAGAGGTCCAAATATCCACTTGCAGATTCCACAAAAAGAGAGTTTCAAAACTCTTCTATCAAAAGGAATTTTCACCTCTGTGAGTTGAATGCAAATATCACAAAGTAGTTTCTGACAATGCTTCGGTCTAGTTTTTATGTGAAGATATTTTCTTTTCTACCGGAGGCCTCAAAGTTCTTTAAATATAGACTTGTAAATTCCACAGAAAGAGTGTTTCAAAACTGCTCTATCAAAAGAAAGTTAAACTCTGTTAGCTGAATGCACACATCACAAAGCAGTTTCTGAGAATGATTCTCTCTAGTTTTTCTAAGAAGACATTCGCTTTTTTACCACAGGCCTCAAATCGCTCTAAATATCCACTTGGAAATTCTTCAGAAAGAGTATTTCAAAACTGGTCAATCGAAAGGAAGGCACAAATCTGTAAGTTGAATGCACACATCACAAATAAGTTTCTGAGAATTTTTCTGTCAAGTTTTATATGAAGGAAAACCTTTTCCAAAGAAGGCCTCAAAAAAGTCCAAATATTCTCCTGCAGATTCTCTCAAAAGTGTGTTTCAAAACTGCACTATCAAAAGAAAGTTTAAACTCTGTGAGTTGAACGCACACATCACAAAGTAGTTTCTGAGAATCATTGTGTCTAGTTTTTCTATGAAGATATTACTTTGTCTACCGTAGGCCTCTGACGGCGCTAAATATCCACTTGGAAATTCTACAAAGAGGGACTTTCAAAACTGTATTACCAAAAGGAAGGTTTAAATCTGTGAGTTGAAAGCACACATCACAAAGAAGTTTTTGAGAATTATTCTGTGTTGTATTATATGAAGAAATCACATTTCAAAAAAGGCCACTTGAGGTCCAAATATCCACCTGCAGATTCTACAAAAGCAGTGTTTCAAAACAACTCTATCAAGGGTAATGTTCAACTCAGTGAGTTGATTACAAATATCACAAAGTAGTTTCGGACAGTGCTTCTCTCTAGTTTTTATGTAAAGATAATTCCTTTTCTACCGTAGGTCCCAAAGCCCTCTAAATATACACTGACAAATTCCACAAAAAGAGTGTTTTAAAACTGCCCTGTCAAATGAATGTTAAACTCTGTAAGCTGAATGCACACATCACAAAGTAGTTTCGGAGAATGATTCTGTCTAGTTTTTCTATGAAGATATTTCCTTTTCTACCACAGGCCTCAAACCTTTCTAAATATAAAATTGGAAATTCTACAAAAAGAGTGCTTCAAAACTGCTCTATCGAAAGGAATGTTCAACTCTGTGAGTTGAATGCACACATCACAAAGAAGTTTCTGAGAATTCTTCTGTCAAGTTTTATGTGAAGAAATCCCGTTTCCAATGAAGGCCCCAAAAATGTCCAAATATTTACTTGCAGATTCTATAAAAAGAGTGTTTCAAAACTGCTCTATCAAAAGAAAGTTAAACTCTGTGTGTTGAAAGCACACATCACAAAGTAGTTTCTGAGAATCATTCTGTCTTGTTTTTCTATGAAGATATTGCTTTTTCTACCATAGGTCTAAAACGGCGCTTCAATATCCACTTGGAAATTCTACAAAAAGAGAGTTTGAAAACTGCTCTATCAAAAGGAAGTTTCGACTCTATGAGTTGAAAGCACACACCACAAAGAAGTTTCTGAGATTTCTTCTGTCTAGTACTATATGAAGAAATCACGTTTCGAACGAAGACCACAAAGAGGTCAAAATATCCACTCACAGATTCACAAAAAAGAGTGTTTCAAAACTGCTCTATCAAGAGCAATGTTCAGCTACGTGAATTGAATGCAAATATCACGTAGTAGTTTCTGACAAAGATTCTTTCTAGTTTTTATGTTAAGATAATTCCTTTTCTACCGAATGCCACAAAGCGCTCTAAATAAATACTTGCAAATTCCACAAAAACTGTGTTTCAAAACTGCTCTAACAAATGAATGTTAAACTCTGTAAGCTGAATGCACACATCACAAAGTAGTTTCTGAGAATGTTTCTGTCTAGTTTTCCTATGAGATATTTCCTTTTGTACGACAGGCCTCAAACCACTCTAAATATCCACTTGGAAATACTACAAAAAGAGTATTTCAAAACTGCTCTATCGAAAGGAAGTTTCAACTCTGTGAGTTGAAAGCACACATCACAAAGTAGTTCCTGACAATGCTTCTGTCTAGTTTTATATGAAGAAATCACGTTTCAAATGAAGGCCAAAAAGAGGTCCAAATATACACATGCAGATTCTACAAAAACAGTGTTTCCTAACTGCTCTATCAAGAGGAATGTTCAACTCTGTGAGTTGAAATCAGATATCACAAAGTAGTTTCTCACAATGCTTCTGTCTAGTTTTTATGTGAAGATAATTCTTTTTCTACCGTTGGCCTCAAAGCGCTCTAAATATACACTTGCAAATTCCACAAAAAGAGTGTTTCCAAACTGCTCCATCAAAAGAAATGTTAAACCCTGTAAGCGGAATGCTCACATCACAAAACAGTTTCTTACAATGATTCTGTCTAGTCTTTCTATGAAGATACTTCCTTATCTAGCAGTCCTCCAAACGCAAAAAATATCCAGTTGGAAATTCTGCAAAAAGAGTATTTCAAAACTGCTCTATCAAAAGGAAGGTTCAACACTGTGAGTTGAATGCCCACATCACAAAGAAGTTTCTGAGAATTGTTCTGTCACGTTTTACATGAAGTAATCCCGTTTCCAAAGAAGGCCCCCCAAAAGTCCAATTATTCACTTGCAGATTCCACAAAAAGAGTGTTTCAAAACTACTCTATGAAAAGAAAGGTTAAACTCTGTGAGTTAAACGCACACATCACAACGTAGTTTCTGATAATCATTCTGTCTAGTTTTTCTTTGAAGATATGGCCTTTTCTACCATAGGCCTCAAATAGCGCAAAATATCCACTAGGAAATTCTACCAAACGAGAGTTTCAAAACTGCTCTATCAAAGAAGGTTAAAGTCAGAGAGTTGAACTCACACATCACAAAGTAGATTCTGAGAATCATTCTGTCCAGTTTTTCTATGAAGATATTGCCCTTTCTGCTATAGGCCTCAAACGGTGCTAAATGTCCACTTGGAAATTATACAAAAAGAGCGTTTCAAAACTGCTCTATTGAAAGGAAGGTTCAACTCTGTGAGTTGAAAGCACACATCACAAAGAAGTTTCTGAGAATTCTTCTGTCTTGTTTTGTATTAAGAAATCACGTTTCAAACAAAGACCACAAAGAGGTCGAAATATCCACTCGCAGATCCTTCAAAAAGAGTGTTTCATAGCTGCTCTATCAAGAACAATGTTCAACTCTGTGAGTTGAATGCAAATATCACAAAGTAGTTTCTGGCAATGCTTTTGTCTAGTTTTTATGTGAAGATAATTCCTTTTCTAGGTTTGGCCTCAAAGCTCTCTAAACATACACTTGCAAATTCCACAAAAAGAGTGTTTCAAAACTGCTGTATCAAAAGATAGTTTAAACTCTGTGAGTTGAAAGCACACATCACAAAGAAGCTTCTGAGAATCATTCAGTCTTGTTTTTCTATGAAGATATTGCATTTTCAACCATAGGCCTCAAAAGGGGCTAAATATCCACTTGGAATTTCTACAAAAAAAGAGTTTCAAAACTGCTGTATCGAAAGGAAAGTTCAACTCTGTGAGTTGAAGCACACATCAAAAAAGTTTCTGAGAATTCTTCTGTATATATTTATATGAAGAAATCACGTTTCAAACGAAGGACGCAAAGAGGTCCAAATATCCGCTGACAGATTCTACAAACAGAGTGTTTCAAAACTGCTCTATGAAGAGGAATGTTCAACTCTGTGGGATGAATGCCAATATCACAAACTAGTTACTTACAATGCTTCTGTCTAGTTTTTCTTTGAAGATATTTCCTTTCCTACCGTAGGCCTCATAGCGCTCTAAATATACACTTGCAAATTCCACAAAAAGGGTGTTTCAAAATTGCTCTAACAATAGAAAGCTTAAACACTGTATGCTGAATGAACACGTCACAAAGTAGTTTCTGACAATGATTCTGTCTAGTTTTTCTATGAAGATATTTCTTTTTCTATAACAGGCCTACAACGACTCTAAATATCCACTTGGAAATAATACCAAAAGAGTGTTTAAAAACTGGTCTATCTAAAGGAAGATTCAACTCTATGAGTTGAATGCACACATCACAAAGAAGTTTCTGAGAATTCTTCTGTCAAGTTTTATATGAAGAAAACCCGTTTCCAATGAAGGCCCCCAAAAAGGCCAAATCTTCACTTGCAGATTCTACAAAAAAGAGTGTTTCAAAACTGCTCTATCAAAAGAAAGGTTAACCTCTGTGAATTAAACACATACATCACAAACTAGTTTCTGAGAAATATTCTGTCTAGTTTTTCAATGAAGATATTGTCTTTTCTATCATAGGCCTCAAAGGGCGCTAAATATCCACTTGGAAATTCTACAAAATGAGAGTTTCAAAACAGCTCTATCTAAACGAAGGTTCAACTCTGTGAGTTGAAAGCACACATCACAAAGAAGTTCCTGAGAATTCTTCTGTCTAGTTTTATATGAGGAAATCACGTTTCAAACGAAGGCCACAAAGAGTTCCAAATATTCACTGGCAGATTCTACAAAAAGAGTATTTCAAACCTGCTCTATCAATAGGAATGTTCAACTCTGTGAGTTGAATGCAAATATCACAAATTAGTTTCTGACAATGCTTCTGACTAGTTTTTATTTGAAGATAATTCCTTTCCTACCGTAGGCCTCATAGCGCTGTAAATATACACCTGCAAATTCCACAAAAAGAGTGTTTCAAAACTGCTTTATCAATTGAAATATTAAACTCCGTAAGCTGAATGCTCACATAACAAAGTAGTTTCTGAGAATGATTGTGTCTAGTTTTTCTATGAAGATATTTCCTTTTATACCAAAGGCCTCAAACCGCTCTAAATATCCACTTGGAAATTCTAAAAAAAGAGTATTTCAAAACTGCTCTATCGAAAGGATGGTTTAACTCTTTGAGTTGAATGCACACATCAAAACGAAGTTTCTGATAATTCTTCTGTCAAGTTTTATTTGAAGAAATCCCGTTTCCTACGAAGGCCCCCAAAAAGGACAAATATTCACCTGCCGGTTATACAAAAAGTGTTTTTCAAAACGGCTCTAAGAAAAGAAAGGTTAAACACTGTAACCTGAATGCACACATCACAAAGCAGTTTCTGAGAATGATTCTACTTTTTCTATGAAATATTTCCTTTTCTACCACGGGCCCCAAACCGATCTAAATATCCACTTGGAAATACTACAAAAAGAGTATTTCAAAACTGCTCTATCTAAAGGAAGGTTCAACTCTGTGTGTTCAATGCACACATCACAAAGAAATTTCCGAGAATTCTTCTGTCAAATTTTATATGAAGAAATCCCGTTTGCAAGTAAGGCCTCAAAAAAGTCCAAATATTCACTTTCAGATTCTACAAAAAGAGTGTTTCAAAACTGCTCTATCAAAAGAAAGGTTAAACTCTGTGAGTGGAACTCACACATCACAAAGTAGTTTCTGAGAATCATTCTGTCTTGGTTTTCTATGAAGATATTTCCTTTTCTACCAGAGGCCTCAAACGATGCTTAATATTACCTTGGAAATTCTACAAAAAGAGAATTTCAAAACTGCTCTATCGAAACAAAGGTTCAACTCTGTGAGTGGAATGCACACATCACAAAGAAGTTTCTGAGAATTCTTCTGTCTTGTTTTATATGAAGAAATCACGTTTCAAAGGAAGGCCACAAAGAGGTCCAAATATACACTTGCAGATTCTACAAGTAGAGTGTTTCAAAACTGCTCCATCAAGAGCAGTTCAACTCTGTGAGTTGAATGCAAATATCAAAAAGTAGTTTCTTACAATGCCTCTGTTTAGTTTTTCTGTGAAGATATTTCATTTTCTACCATAGGCCTCAAAGCGCTCTAAATATACACTTGCAAATTCCACCAAAAGAGGGTTTCAAATCTGCTTTATCAAAAGAAATGTTAAACTCACTCTGTAAGCTGAATGCACACATCACAAAGTAGCTTCTGAGAATTCCTCGGTCTTGTTTTATATGAAGAAATCACATTTCAAAGGAAGACCACAAGGAGTTCCAAATTGCAGATTCTGAAAAAAGAGTATTTCAAAACTGCTCTTTCAAGGAGAATTTTCAACTCTGTGAGTTGAATGCAAATATCACAAAGTAGTTTTTGAAAATGCTTCTGTCTAATTTTTTGTGAAGATATTTCGTTTTCTACCGTAGGCCCCAAAAGATCTATATAGTCTTGCAAATTACTCAAAAAGAGCCTTTCAAAACTGCTCTATCAAAAGAAAGGTTAAACGCTGTAAGCTGAATGCACACATGACAAAGCAGTTTCTGAGAATGTTTCTCTCTAGTTTTCCTATGAAGATATTTCCTTTTCTACCAAAGGCATCAAACCGTTCTAAATATCCACTTGGAAATTCCACAAAAACTGTATTTCAAAACTGCTCTATCGAAAGGAAGATTCATCTCTGGGAGTTGAATGCACACATCAGAAAGAAGTGTCTGAGAATTCTTCTTTCAAGTTTTATATGAATAAACCCCCTTTCCAACGAAGGCCTCAAAAAATTCCAAATGTTCTCTTGCAGATTCTACAAAAAGAGTGTTTCAGAACTGCTGTATGAAAAGAAAGGTTAAACTGTGTGAGGTGAACGCACACATCACAAAGTAGATTCTGAAAATCATTCTGTCTAGTTTTTCTATTGAGATATTTCCTTTTCTTCCATAGGCCTGATAAGGCTCTAAACATCGACGTGGAAATTCTAAAAAAAGAGAGTTTCAAAACTCCTCTATCGAAATGAAGTTTCAACTCTGTGAGTTGAACGCACACATCACAAAGTAGTTTCTGAGAATCATTATGTCTAATTTTTCTACGAAGATATGGCCTTTTCGACAATAGGCCTTAAACGGCGCTAAATATCCACTTGGAAATTCTGAAAAATGAGAGTCTCAAAACTGTTCTATCGAAAGGAATTTTCAACTCTGTGAGTTGAAAACCCACTTCACAAAGAAGATTCTGAGAATTCTTCTGTCTAGTTTTATATAAAGAAATCATGATTCAAAGGAAGGCCACAAAGAGGTCCAAATATCCACTTGCAGATTCCACAAAAAGAGAGTTTCAAAACTCTTCTATCAAAAGGAATTTTCACCTCTGTGAGTTGAATGCAAATATCACAAAGTAGTTTCTGACAATGCTTCGGTCTAGTTTTTATGTGAAGATATTTTCTTTTCTACCGGAGGCCTCAAAGTTCTTTAAATATAGACTTGTAAATTCCACAGAAAGAGTGTTTCAAAACTGCTTTATCAAAAGAAAGTTAAACTCTATTAGCTGAATGCACACATCACAAAGCAGTTTCTGAGAATGATTCTCTCTAGTTTTTCTAAGAAGACATTCGCTTTTTTACCACAGGCCTCAAATCGCTCTAAATATCCACTTGGAAATTCTTCAAAAAGAGTATTTCAAAACTGGTCAATCGAAAGGAAGGCACAAATCTGTAAGTTGAATGCACACATCACAAATAAGTTTCTGAGAATTTTTCTGTCAAGTTTTATATGAAGGAAAACCATTTCCAAAGAAGGCCTCTAAAAGTCCGAATATTCACTTGCAGATTCTACAAAGAGAGTGTTTCTAAACTGCTCTATCAAAAGAAAGGTTAAACTCTCTGAGTTGAACGCACACATCACAAACTATTTTCTGAGAATCATTCTGTCTAGTTTTTTATGAAGAAATCACGTTTCAAACGAAGGCCACGAAGAGATCAAAATATCCACATGCAGATTCTACAAAAAGAGTGTTTCAAAACTGATCTATCAAGAGGAATGTTCCACTCTGTGAGGTGAATGCAAATATCACAAAGGATTTTCTGACAATGCTTCGGTCTAGTTTTTATGTGAAGATATTTCCTTTTCTACCGTAGGCCACAAATCGCTCTAAATATACACATGAAAATTCCACAAAAAGTGTGTTTCAGAACTGCTCTATCAAAAGATAGGTTGAACTATGAATGCTGAAAGCACACATCACAAAGAAGCTTCTGAGAATGATTCTGTCTAGGTTTTCTATGAAGATATTTCCTTTTCTACCAGAGGCCACAGAACGCTCTAAATATCCACTTGAAAATTCCACAAAAAGAGTATTTCAAAACTGCTCTATCGAAAGGAAGGTTCAAATCTGTGAGTTCAATGCACACATCAAACAGAAGTTCCTGAGAATTCTTCTATCACGTTTTATATAAAGAAATCCCGTTTCCAACGAAGGCCACCAAAAAGTCCAAATATTCACTACCGGATTCTACAAAAAGAGTGTTTCAAAACTGTTCTATCAAAAGAAAGATTAAACCCTGTAAGCTGAATGCACACATCACAAAGTAGTTTCTGTGAATGATTCTGTCTAGTTTTTCTAGGTAGATACTTCCTTTTCTACCACAGACCTCAAACCGCTGTAAATATCCACTTGGAAATACTAAAAAAAGTGTATGTCAAAACTGCTCTATCAACAGGAAGGTTCAATTCTGTGAGTTGAATGCACACATCACAAAGTAGTCTGAGAATTCTTCTGTCACTTTTCAAACGAAGAAATCCCGTTTCCAACGAAGGCCCCGAAAAAATCCAAATATTCGCTTGCAGATACTACAAAAATAGTGTTTCAAAACTGCTCTATCAAAAGAAAGATTAAAGTCTGTCAGTTGAACGCACACAGCACAATGTAGTTTCTGAGAATCGTTCTGTCTAATTTTTCTATGAAGATATTTCCTTTTCTACCATAGGCCTCAAGCGGCGCTAAATGTCCACTTGGAAATTTCACAGAAAGAGAGTTTCAAAACTGCTCTATCGAAAGGAAAGTTCAACTCTGTGAGTTGAAAGCACACATCACAAAGAAGTTTCTGAGAATTCTTCTGTCTAGTTTTATATGAAGAAATCACGTTTCAATCGAAGGCCACACAAATGTTCAAATATAAACTTGAAGATTCTACAAAAGAGTTTTTCAAAACTGCCCTATTAAGGGGAATCTTCAACTCTGTGATTTGAATGCAAATGTCACAAAGTTGTTTCCGACAACACTTCTGTATTGTTTTATGTGAAGACACTTCCTTTTCTACGGTATGCAGCAAAGCGCTCTAAATATACACTTGCAAATTCCACAATAAGAGTGTTTCAAAACTGCTCTTAGAAAGGAAATGTTAAACTCTGTAAGCTGAATGCACACAGCACAAAGTAGTTTCTGAGAATGAGTCTGTCTAGTTTTTCTATGAAGATATTGTCTTTACTAAAATATGCCTCAACCGGGGCTAAATATCCACTTGGAAATTCTACAAAAATAGATTTTCAAAATTGCTCCATCGAGAGGAAGGTTCAACACTGTGAGCTGAAAGGTCACATCACAAAGAAGTTTCTGAGAATTCTTCTGTCTAGTTTTATATGAAGAAATCACGTTTCAAATGAAGGCCACAAAGAGGTCCAAATATCCGCTTGCAGATTCTACAAAAAGAGTGTTTCGAAACTGCTCTATCAAGATAAATGTTGAACTCTGTGAGTTGAATGCATATATCTAAAAGTAGTTTCTGACAATGCTTCTGTCTAGTTTTTATGTGAAGATATTTCCTTTGCTACCATAGGCTTCAAAGTGTTCAAAATATATACTTGCAAATTCCTCAAGAAGAGGGTTTCAAAACTGCTCTATCAAAAGAAAGGTTAAACTCTGTAAGCTGAATGCACACATCACAAAGTAGTTTCTGAAAATGATTTTGTCTAGTTTTTCTATGAAGATATTTCCTTTTCTACCACAGGCCTCAAACCGCTTTAAATATCCACTTGGAAATTCTACCAAAAGAGTATTTCAAAACTGCTCTATGGAAAGGAAAGTTCAAATCTGTGAGTTGAATGCACACATCACAAAGAAGTTTCTGAGAATTCTTCTATCACGTTTTATAAGAAGAAATCCCGTTTACAACGAAGGCCCCCAAAAAGTCCAAATATTCTCTTGCAGATACTACAAAATAGTGTTTCAAAACTGCTCTATCAAAAGAAAGTTAAACTCTGTGAGTTGAACGCGCACACGACAAAGTTGTTTCTGTGAATCATTCTTTCTAGATTTTCTATGAAGATATTGCCTTTTCTAGCTTAGGCCTCAAACGGCGCTAAATATTCACTTCGAAATTCTACAAAAAGAGAGTTTCAAAACTGCTGTATCCAAAGGAAGTTTCATTCCTGTGAGTTGAAAGCACACATCACAAAGAAGTTTCTGAGAATTCTTCTGTCTAGTTTTATATGAAGAAATCACGTTTCAAACGAAGGCCACAAAGAGGTACAAATATCCACATGCAGATTCTGCAAAAAGAGAGTTTCAAATTTGCTCTATCAAGAGGAATGTTCACCTCTTTGGGTTGAATTCAAATATCACAAAGTAGTTTCTGGCAATGCTTCTGTCTTGTTTTTATGTGAACATATTTTCTTTTCTAAAGTAGGCCTCAAATCAGTCTCAATATACACTTGGAAAATCCAGAAAAAGAGTGTTTCAAAACTGCTCTATCAAAGAAAGTTTAATATACGTAAGCTGAATGCACACATCACAAAGTAGTTTCTGAGAATGATTCTGTATATTTTTTCTATGAAGACATTTCCTGTTCTACCATAGGCCTCAAACCACTCTAAATATCCGCTTGGAAATACTACAAAAAGAGTATTTCAAAACTGCTCTATCGAAAGGAAAGTTCAACTCAGTGAGTTTAATGCACACGTCACCACGAAGTTTCTGGTAATACTTCTGTCAAGTTTTATATGAAGAAATCCCTTTTCCAAAGAAGGCCTCAAAAAGTCCAAATATTCACTTGCGGATTCTGCAAAAAGAGAGTTTCAAAACTGCTCTATCTGAAGCAAAGTTAAAGTTTTTGAGTTGAATGCACACAACACAAAGGAGTTTCTGAGAATCATTCTGTCTAATTTTTCTATGAAGTTATTTCATTTTGAAACAAAGGCCTCAAACCACGCTAAATATCCACTTGGAAATTCTACAAAAAGAGAGTTTAAATACAGCTGTTTCGAAAGGAAGGTTCAACTCTGTAAGTTGAATGCACACATCACAAAGAAGTTTCTGAGAATTCTTCTCTCACGTTTCGTATGAAGAAATCCCGTTTCAAACGAAGGCCACAAAGAGGTCAACGTATCCACTTGCAGAATCTACAAAAAGAGTATTTCAAAACTGCTCCAACAAAAGGAATTTTCAACACTGAGTTGAATGCAAATATCATAAAGTAGTTTCTGACAATGCTTCTGTCTAGTTTTTATGTGAAGATATTTCTTTTTCTACCATAGGCTTCAAAGCGCTCGAAATATACACATGCAAATTCCACAAAAAGAGTGTTTCAAAACTGCTCTACCAAAAGAAAGGTTAAACTCTGTAAGCTAAATGCACACATCAAAAAGTAGTTTCTGACAATGATTCTGTCTAGTTTTTCTATGAAGATATTACCTTTTCTACCATACGCCTCAAACCACTCTAAATATCCACTTAGAAATCCTACAAAAAGAGTATTTCCAAACTGCTCTATCGAAAGGTAGTTTCAACTCTGTGAGTTGAATGCACACATCACTAGTAAGTTTCTGATAATTCTTCTGTCACGTTTTATATGAAGAAACCCCATTTCCAAAAAAGCTGCCAAAAAGTCCAAATATTCACTTGCAGATTCTACAAAAGTAGTGTTTCAAAACTGCTCTATCAAAAGAAAGATTAAACTCTGTAAGTTGAATGCATACATCTCAAAGTAGTTTCTGTGAATGATTCTATTTTGTTTATCTATGAAGATATTTCCTTTTCTACCACATGCCTCAAACCGCTCTAAATATACACTTGGAAATTCCACAAAAAGAGTATTTCAAAACTGCTCTATCGAAAGGAAGGTTCAATTCTGTGAGTTGAATGCACACATCACAAATATGTTTCTGAGAATTTTTCTGTCATGTTTTATAGGAAGAAATCCCGTTTCCAACCAAGGCCCCCAAAACTCCAAATATTCACTTGCAGGTTCTAAAAAAACAGTTTTTCAAAACTGCTCTATCAAAAGAAAGATTAAACACTGTGAGTTGAACGCACACAGCACAATGTAGTTTCGGAGAATCATTCTGTCTAGTTTTTCTATGAAGATATTGTCTTTTCTACCGTAGGCCTCAATGGCGCTAAATATCCACGTGAAAATTCTACCAAAATGGAGGATCAAAACTGCCCTTTCGAAAGGAAAGTTCAACTCTGTGAGTTGAAAGCAAACATCACAAAGAAGTTTCTGAGAATTCTTCTGTGTAGTTTTATACGAAGAAATCACGTTTCTAACGAAGACAACAAAGGGGTCCAAATATCCACTCGCAGATTCTACAAAAAGAGTGTTTCAAAGCTGCTCTATCAAGAGGAATGTTCATCTCTGTGAGTTGAATGCAAATATCACAAAGTTGTTTCTGACGATGCTTCAATGTAGTTTTTATGTGAAGATATTCTCTTTTCTACCGTAGCCCTCAAAGAGCTCTAAATATACACTTGAAAATTCCACAAAAAGAGTGTTTCAAAACTGCTCTATCAAAAGAAAGTTTAAACACTGTTAGCTGAATGCACACATCACAAAGTAGTTTGTGAGAATGATTCTGTCGTCGATTTCTATGAAGATATTTCCTTTTCTACCACAGGCCTCAAACCGCTCTAATTATCCACTTGGAAATTCTTCAAAAAGAGTATTTCAGAAATGCTCTATTGTAAGGAAGGTTCAATATTGTGAGTTGAATGCACACATCACAAAGAAGTTTCTGAGAATTCTTCTGTCTGGTTTTACATGAAGAAATAGCATTTCAAATGAAGGCCACAAAGAGGTCAAAATATCCACTTGCAGATTCTACAAAAAGAGTGTTTCAAAACTGCTCTTTCAAGAGGAATATTCAACTCTGTGAGTTGAATGCAAATATCACAAAGTAGTTTCTGACAATGCTTCTGTCTAGTTTCTATGTGAAGATAATTCCTTTACTACCGTAGGCCTCAAAGCGCTCTAAATATACGCTTGAAAATTCCACAAAAAGAGTGTTTCAAAACTGCTCTATCAAAAGCAATGTTTAAATATGTGAGTTGAACGCACACACCACAAAGTAGTTTCTGAGAATCATTCTGTCTAATTTTTCTGTGAAGATATTTCCTTTTCTACCATAGCCCTCAAGCCGCTCTAACTATCCACTTGGAGATTCTACAAAAAGAGTATTTCATAACTGCTGTATCGAAAGGAGGGTTCAACTCTGTGAGTTGAATGCACACATCAAAAAGAAGTTTCTGAGAATTCTTCTGTCAAGTTTTATATGAAGAAATACTGTTTCCAACGAAGGCCTCAAAAAAAGTCCAAATATTCCAGTGCAGATTCTACAAAAAGTGAGTGTCTAAACTGCTCTATCAAAAGATGGCTAAACTCTGTGAGTGGAAGGCACACACCACAAAGTAGTTTCTGAGAATCAATCTGTCTAGCTTTTCTATGAAATTATTCACTTTTCTACCATAGGCGTCAAACTGTGCTAAATATCCCCTTGGAAATACTACAAAAAGAGAGTTTCAAAACTGCTGTATCGAAAGGAAGGTTCAACTCTGTGATTTGAAAGCACACGTCACCAACAAGTTTCTGAGAATCCTTCTTTCCAGGTTTATATGAAGAAATCCCGTTTCAAACGATGGCCGCAAGGTGGTCAACAAATCCACTTACAGAATCTTCAAAAAGAGTGTTTTAAAACTGCTCCATCAAGAGGAATGTTCATCTCTGTGAGTTGCATGCAAATATCACAAGGTAGTTTCTGACAATGCTTCTGACAACTTTTTATGTGAAGATATTTCCTTTTCTACCGTAGTCATCAAAGCACTCTAAATATGCACTTGCAAATGGCAGAGAAAGAGTGTTTCAAAGCTGCTCTATCAAAAGAAAGGTTGAACTCTGTAAGCTGAATGCACACATCACAAAGCAGCTTCTGAGAATGATTCTGTCTAGTTTTTCTATGAAGATATTTTCTTTTCCACCAGAGACCTCAAACCGCACTAAATATCCACTTGGAAATTCTACAAAAAGAGTGTTTCAAAACTGCTCTATGGAAAGGAAGGTTCAACCCTGTGAGTTGAATGCTCACATCACAAAGAAGTTTCTGAGAATTCTTCTGTCAAGTTTTATATGAAGAAATCCCGTTTCCAACGAAGGCCTCAAAAAAGTCCAAATATTCACTTGCAGATCCTACAAAAAGCGTGTTTCAAAACTGCTGTATCAAAATAAAGTTTAAACTCTGTGAGATGAATGCACACATCACAGAGTTGTTTCTGAGAATCATTCTGTCTAGCTTTTCTATGAAGATATTGCCTTTTCTACCATAGGCCTCAAATGCCGTTAAATATCCACTTGGAATTTCTAAAAAAGGAGAGATTCAATGCTAATCTATCGAAAGGAAGGTTCAAACCTGTGAGTTGAATGCACACATCACAAAGAAGTTTCTGAGAATTCTTCTGTCTAGTTTTATATGAAGAAAACCCGTTTCCAACGAAGGACTCAAAAAAGTCCAAATATTCACTTGTAGGTTCTAAAAAAGAGCGTTTCAAATCTGCTCTACCAAAAGAAAGGTTAAACTCTGTGAGTTGAAAACACAAACCACAAAGTAGTTTCTGAGAATCATTCTTTCTGTCTAGTTTTTCTATGAATATATTGCCTTTTCTACCATAGGCCTCAAATGGCGCTAAATATACACTTGGAAATCTACAGAAAGAGAGTTTCAAAACTGCCCTATTGAAAGTAAGGTTCAACTCTGTGAGTTGAAAGCACACATCACAAAGAAGTTTCTGAGAATTCTTCTGTCTAGGTTTAGATGAAGAAATCACGTTTCAAAAGAAGGCCACATAGACATCCAAATATCCCCCTGCAGATTCTTCAAAAAGAGTGTTTCAAAACTGCTCTATCAAGAGGAATTGTCCACTCTGTGAGTTAAATGCAAGTATCACAAAGTAGTTTCTGACAATGTTTCTGTCTAGTTTTTATGTGAAAATATTTCCTTTTCTACCCTAGGCCTCAAACCGCTCTAAATATGCACTTGCAAATTCCACAGAAAGAGTGTTTCAAAGCTGCTCTATCAAAAGAAAGGTTAAATTCTGTAAGCTGAACGCACACATCACAAAGTTGTTTCTGAGAATGATTCTGTCTATTTTTTCAATGAATATATTTCCCTTTCTACCAGAGGCCTCAAACCGCACTAAATATCCACTTGGAAATACTACAAAAAGAGTATTTCAAAACTGCTCTATCGAAAGGAAGTTTCAACTCTGTGAGTTGAATGCTTACATCACAAAGAAGTTTCTGAGAATTCTTCTGTCAAGTTTTATATGGAGAAGTCCCGTATCCAACGAAGGCCTAAAAAACTCCAAATATTTACCTGCAGATTCTACAAAAAGTGTGTTTCAAAACTGCTCTATCAAAAGAAAGTTTAAACTCTGTGAGTTGAATGCACGCAACACAGAGTTGTTTCTGAGAATCAATCTGTCTAGCTTTTCTATGAAGATATTGCCTTTTCTACCATAGGCCTCAAACCGTTCTAAGTATACACTTGGAAATTCTACAAAAAGAGTTTCAAAACTGCTCTATCAAAAGAAAGGTTAAATTCTGTAAGCTGAACGCACACATCACAAAGTCGTTTCTCAGAATGATTCTGTCTACTTTTTCAATGAAGATATTTCCTTTTGTGCCACCGGCCTGAAACCACTGTAAATATCCGTTGGAAAATTCTACGAAAAGAGTATTTCAAGACTGCTCTATCGAAAGGAAGGTTCAAGACTTTGAGTTGAATGCACACATCACAAAGAAGTTTCTGAGAATTCTTCTGTCAAGTTTTATTTGAAGAAATCCTGTTTCCAACAAAGCCCCAAGAAAGCCCAAATATTCACTTACAGACTCTACAAAAAGAGTGTTTCAAAACTGCTCTATCAAAAGAAAGAATAAACTCTGTGAGTTGAACGCACACATCACAAGGTACATTCAGAGTCATTCTGTCTAGTTTTTCTATGAACATATTGCCTTTTCTACCATCAGCCTCAAATTGCTCTAAATATCCAGTTGGAAATTCTCCAAAAAGAGTATTTCGAAGCTGCTCTATCTGAAGGAAGGTTCAACTCTGTGAGTTGAATGATCACATAACAAAGAAGTTTCAGAGAATTCTTCTTTCTAGTTTTAAATGAAGAAATCACGTTTCAAACGAAGGCCACGAAGAGGTCCAAATATCCACTTGCAGATTCTACAAAAAGAGTGTTTCAAAACTGCTCTATAGAGAAGAAGATTCAGCCGTGTTAGTTGAATGCAAATATCACAAAGCAGATTCTGACAATGCTTCTGTCTAGTTTTTATATGAAGATATTTTATTTTCTAAGGTAGGCCTCAAAGCGCTCAAAATACACACTTGCAAATTTCGCAAAAAGAAGAGTGTTTCAAAACTGCTCTATCAAAAGTAATGTAAAACTCTGTAAGCTGAATGCACACATCACAAAGCAGTTTCTGAGAATGATTCTGTCTAGGTTTTCAATGAAGATATTTCCTTTTCTACCACAGGCTTCAAACCACTCTAAATACCCACTTGGAAAATCTACAAAAAGAGTATTTCAGAACTGCTCTATTCAACGGAAGGTTCAAATCTGTGAGATGAATGCACACATCACAAAGAATTTTCTGAGAATTCTTCTGTGAAGTTTTAATGAAGAAATCCCGTTTCCAAAGAAGGCCTTAAGAAAGTCCAAATATTTACTTGCAGATTCCACAAAAAGAGTGTTTCAAAACTGCTCTATCAAAAGAAAGGTTAAACCCTGTGAGTTGAACACACACATCACAATGTAGTTTCTGAGAATCATTCTGTCAAGTTTTCCTATGAAGATATTTCCTTTTCTAGCACAGGCCTCAAACCGCTGTAAATATCCACTTGGAAATTCTAAACAAAGAGTATTTCAAAACTGCTGTATTGAAAGGAATGTTCAACTCTGTGAGTTGAAAGCCCACATCACAAAGTAGTTTCTGAGAATTCTTCTGTCCAGTTATATATGAAGAAATCACGTTTCAAACGAAGGCCACAAAGAGGTCCCAATATCCACTTGTAGACTGTGCAAAAAGAGTGTTTAAAAACCGCTCTATCAAGAGGAATGTTCAACTCTGTGAGTTGAATGCAAATATCACAAAGGAGTTTCTGACATTGCTTCTGTCTAGTTTTTATGGGAAGATATTTCCTTTTCTACCATAGGCCTCAAAGTGCACTAAATATACAATTGCAAATTCCACGAAAAGAGTGTTTCAAAACTGCTCTATCATAGGAAAGGTTAAACTCTGTAAGCTGAATGCACACATCACAAAGTAGTTTCTCAGAATGATTCTGTCTGGTTTTCTTATGAAGATATTTCCTTTTTTACCCTAGGCCTCAAAACGCTCTAAATATACACTTGGAAATTCTACAAAAAGAGTATTTCAAAACTGCACATTCAAAAGGAAGGTTCAAGTCTGTGAGTTGAATGCACACAACACAATATAGTTTCTGAAAATTCCTCTGTCAAGTTTTATATGAAGAAATCCCGTTTCCAACGAAGGCCTCAAAAAAGACCAAATATTCAATTGCAGATTCTAGAAAAACAGTGTTTCAAAACTCCTCTATCAATAGAAAGCTTAAATTCCGTGCATTCAATGCACACATCACAAAGTAGTTTCTGAGAATCATAATGACTACTTTTTCTATGAAGTTATTGCCTTCTCTATCATAGGCCTCAAACGGCGCTAAATATCCACTTGGAAATTTTACAAAAGAGGAGATTCAAAACTGCTCTATTGAAAGGAAGGTTCAAATATTTGAGTTGAAAGGACACATCACAAAGAGCTTTCTGAGAATTCTTCTATCTAGTTTTAAATGAAGAAATCAAGATTCAAACGACGGCCACAAAGAGGTACAAATATCCACTTGTAGATTCGCAAAAGGAGAGTCTATAATCTGCTCTTTCAAGAATAATGTTCAACCCTGTGTGTTGAATGCAAATATCACAAAGTAGTTTCTGACAATGCTTCTGTCTAGTTTTTATGTGAAGATATTTCCTTTTCTACCGTATGCCTCAAAGCACTCTAAATATAAAATTGCAAATTCCACAAAAAGGGAGTTGCAAAACTGCTCTATCAAAAAGAAAGGTTAAACTCCTCAAGCTGAATGCACACATCAAAAGGTAGTTTCTGTGAATGATTCTGTCTAGTGTTTCTATGAAGATATTTCCTTTTCTAGCATAGGCGTCAAGCCACTCTAAATATCCAATCGGACATTTTACAAAAAGAGAATTTCAAAACTGTTCTAACGAAAGGAAGGTTTACCACTATGAGTTGAATGCACACATCAGAAAGAAGTTTCTGAGAAATCTTCTGACAACTTGTATATGAAGAAATCACGTTTCCAAGGAAGGCCTCAAAAAAGTCCTACTATTCACTTGCAGATTCTACAAAAAGAGAGTTTCAAAATTGCTCTATCTACATAAAGTTTAAACTCTCTGAGTTGAACGCACACATCACAAAGTAGTTTCTGAGAATCATTCTGTCTACTTTTTCTACGAAGATATTGACTTTTCTACCCTAGGCCTCAAACGGCACTAAATATCTACTTGGAAATTCTACTAAAAGCGAGTTTCAAAACTCCTCTATCGAAAAGAAGGTTCAAATCGGGGAGTTGAAAGCTCACATCACAAAGGAGTTTCTGAGAATTATTCTGTCTCGTTTTTCACGAAGAAATCACGTTTCAAACGAAGGCCTCTAAGAGGTCCACATATCCACTTGCAGATTCTACAAAAAGAGTGTTTCAAAACTGCTCTATCAAGAGGAATATTCAACTCAGTGAGTTGAATGCAAATATCACTAAGTAGTTTCTGACAATGCTTCCGTCTAGTTTTTAGGTGAAGATATCTCCTTTTCTACTGTAGGCCTTATAGCGCTCTAAAAACACACTTGCAAATTCCACAAAAAGAGTGTTCAAAACTGCTCTATCAAAGAAAGGATAAACTCTGAAAGCTGAATACACACATCACAAAGTAGTTTATGAAAATGTTTCTATTTAGTTTCTCTACTAAGATATTTCCTTTACATCCCTAGGCCTCAAACCGTTCTAAATATCCACTTGGAAATTCTTCAAAAAGAGTATTTCAAAACTGCCCTTTCAAAATGAAGGTTCAACTCTGTGAGTTGAATGCACACATCACAAAGAAGTTTCTGAGAATTCTTATGTCAACTTTTATATGAAGAAATCCCTTTTCCAACGAAGGCCTCAAAAAAGTCCAAATATTCACTTGCAGATTCTACAAAAAGAGTGTTTCAAAACTGCTCTACTAAAAGAAAATTTACACTCTGTGAGTTGAATGCACAAATAACAACGTAGTTTCTGAGAATCATTCTGTCTAGTTTTTCTATGAAGGTGTTGCCTTTTATACCTTTGGCCTCAAAGGGTGGTAAATATCCACTTGGAAATTCTACATAAAGAAAGTTTCAAAACTGCTCTATCCAAAGAAAGTTTCAATTCTGTGAGTGGAAAGCACACATCACAAAGAAGTTTCTGGGAATTCTTCTCTCTAGTCTTACATGAAGAAATCACGTTTCAAACGAAGGCCAAAAAGAGGTCAAATATCCACTTGCAGATTCTACAAAAAGAGTATTTCAAACTTCTCTATCAAGTGTAATGTTCAACTCTGTGAGTTGAATGCAAATATCACAAAGTAGTTTTTGACAATGCTTCTGTCTAGTTTTTATCTGAAGATATATTCTTTTCTACAGTAGGCCTCAAAGAGCTCTAAATATAAACTTGCAAATTCCACAAAAGGAGTGTTTCAAAACTGCTCTATCAAAAGAAAAGTTAAACTCTGTAAGCTGAATGCACACATCACAAAGCAGTTTCTGAGAATGATTCTGTCTAGTTTTTCTATGAAGTTATTTCCTTTTCTACAATTGTCCTCCAACCGCTCTAAGTACACACTTGGAAATTCTACAAAAAGAGTATTTCAAAACTGCTCCTTTGAAATGAAGGTTCAATTCTTTGAGTTGAATGCGCACATCACAAAAAAGTTTCTGAGAATTCTTCTGTGAAGTTTTATATGAACAAATCCCGTTTCCATCGAAGGCCTCAAAAAAGTCCAAATATTAACTTGCGGATTATACAAAAACAGTGTCTCAAAACTGCTCTATCAAAACAAAGTTTAAACTCTGTGAGTTGAACGCACACATCACAAAGTAGTTTATGAGAATCATTTTGTCTAGTTTCTCTATGAAGATGTTTCCTTTTCTACCGTAGGGTTCAAACGGCACTAAATACCAACTTGGAAATTCTACAAAAAGAGAGTTTCAAAACTGCTCTATCCAAAGGAAGGTTCAAATCTGTAAGTTGAAAGCACACATCACAAAATGTTTCTGAGAATTCTTCTGCCTAGATTTATATGAAAAAATCATGTTTAAAAAGAAGGCCACAAAGAAGTCCAAATATCCACTTGCGGATAATACATAAAGAGCGTTTCAAAACTGTTCTATAAAGAGGAATGTTCAACATCGTGAGTTGAATGCAAATATCCAAAGAATTTTCTGACAATGCTTCTGTCTAGTTTTTATGTGAAGATATATCCTTTTCTACCTTAGACCACAAAGCGCTCTAAATATACACTTGCAAATTCCACAAAAAGAGTGTTTCAAAAGTGCTCTATCAAAATAAAGGTTAAATTCTGTAAGCTGAATGCAAACTTCACGAAGTAGTTTCTGAGAATGATTCTGTCTAGTTTTTCTATGAAGATATTTCCTTTTCTACCATAGGCTTCAAACCGCTCTAAATAGCCACTTGGAAAAAATAAAAGAAGAGAATTTCAAAACTGTTCTATCGAAAAGAAGGTTCAAACATTTGAGTTGAATGCACATATCACAAAGAATTTTCTGAGAATTCTTCTGTCAAGTTTATATGAAGAAATCCCGTTTCCAAAGAAGGCCTCAAAAAAGTTCAAATATTCACTTGCACATACTGCAAAAAGAGTGTTTCAAAACTGCTCTATCAAAAGAAAGGTTAAATTCTGTGACTTGAACGCACACATCACAAAGTAGTTTCTGAGAATCATAATGTCTAGTTTTCTATTTGCTTTTCAACCGTAGACCTCAAAAGGCGGCAAATATCCACTTGGAAATTCTACAAAAAGAGAGTTTCGAAACTGCCCTGTCGAAAGGAAGGTTCGACTATGTGAGTTGAAAGCATACATCACAAATATGTTTCTGAGACTTCTTCTGTATAGTTTTAGAAGAAGAAATCACGTTTCAAATAAAGGCTACAAAGAGGTCCAAATATCCACCTGGAGATTCTACAAAATGAGTGTTTCAAAACTGCTCTATCAAGAGGAATGTTCAACTCTGTAAGATGAATGTAAATATCACAAAGTAGTTTCTGACAATGCTTGTCTAGTTTTTATGTGAAGATATTTCCTTTTATACGGTAGGCCTCAAAGCGCTCTATATATACACTTGCAAATTCCCCAAAAGACTGTTTTAAAACTGCTCTATGAAAAGGAAGGCTAACCTCTGTCAGCTGAATGCACACATCAGAAATAGTTTCGGAGAATGATTCTGTCTAGTTTTTCTATGAAAATATTTCCTTTTCTAGCATAGGCCTCAAACTGCTCTAAATATCCAGTTGGAAATTCTACAAAAAGAGAATTTCAAAACTGCTCTATCAAAAAGAAGGTTTAACACTGTGAGTTGAATGCGCACATCACAAAACAGTTTCTGAGAATTCTTCTGTCAAGTTTTCTATGAAGAAATCCCATTTCCAAAAAAGGCCTCCAAAAAGTCCAAATATTCACTTGCAGATTCTACAAAAAGACTGTTTCAAAAAAGCTCTATCAAAAGAAACGTTAAACTCTGTGAGTCGTAAGCAAACATCACAAAGAAGTTTCTCAGAATCATTCTATCTAGTTTTTCTTAAAAGATATTTCCTTTTCTACCATAGGCCTCAAACGGCACTAAATATCGACTTGGAAATTCTACAAAAAGAGAGTTTCTAAACTCCTCTATCGAAAGAAAGTTTCAACTCTGTGAGTTGAAAGCACACATCACAAAGAAGTTTCTGAGAATTCTTCTGTGTAGTTTTATACGAAGAAATCACGTTTCAAACGAACGCCACAAAGAGGTCCAAATATCCGATTGCAGATTGTACAAAAAGAGTGATTCAAAACTCCTCTATCAAGAGGAATTTTCAACTCTGTGAGTTGAATGCAAATATCACAAAGTAGTTTCTGACAATGCTTCTGTCTAGTTTTCATGTGAAGATATTTCCTTTTCTACCATAGGCCTCAAAACACTAAAATATACACTTGCAAATTGCAGAAAAAGAGTGTTTAAAACTGCGATATCAAAAAGAATGGTAAACACTTAAGCTGAATGCACACATCACAAAGTAGTTTCTGAAAATGATTCTATCTTGTTTTTCTATGAAGATATTTCTTTTTCTACCATAGGCCTCAAACGGAACTAAATATCCACTTTGAAATTCTACAAAAAGAGTATTTCAAAACTGCTCTATCAAAAGGAAATTTCAACTCTCTGAGTTGAATGCAAACCTCCCAAATAAGTTTCTGAGAATTCTTCTGTCAAGTTTTATGAAGAAATCCCGTTTCCAACGGAGGCCTCAAAAAAGTAGAAATATTCACCTGCAGATTCTACAATAAGAGTGTTTCAAAACTGCTCTATCAAAAGAAAGATTAAACCCAGTGAGTTGAAAGCACACATCACAAAGTAGTTTCTGAGAATCATTCTGTCTAGTTTTCCTATGAAGATATTGCCTTTTCTACCATAGGCCTCAAACGGCGATAAATATCAACTTGGAAATTATACAAGAAGAGAGTTTCAAAACACCTCTATGGAAAGGAAGGTTCAACTCTGTGAGTTAAAAGCACACATAACAAAGAAGTTTCTGAGAACTCTTCTGCCTAGTTTTATATGAAGAAATTACGTTTCAAACGAATGCCACAAAGAGGACAAAATAATCAATTGCAGATTCTACAAAAAGAGTATTTCAAAACTGCTCTATCAAGAGGAATGTTCAACTCTGTGAGTTGAATGCAAATATCACAAAGTAGTTTCTGACAATGCTTCTGTCTAGTTTTTATGTGAAGATATTTCCTTTTCGACGTAGCCTTCAAAGAGCTCTAAATATATACTTTCAAATTCCACAAAAGCAGTGTTTCAAAACTGCTCTATCAAAAGTAAGGTTAATCTCTGTCAGCTGAATGCAAAAATCACAAAGTAATTTCTGAGAATGATCCTGTCTCGTTTTTCTATGAAGATATTTCCTTTTCTACCAGAGGCCTCAAACGGAGCTAAATATAAATTTGGAAATTATACAAAAACAGTATTTCAAAACTGCTCTTTCGAAAGGAAGGTTCAAAACTGTTAGTTGAATGCACACATCACAAAGAAGTTTCTGAGAATTCTTCTGTTCAATTTTATATGAAGAAAACCCGTTTCCAACGAAGGCTTCAAAAAAGTCCAAATATTCACTTGCAGATTCCACAAAAACATTGTTTCAAAACTGCTCTATCAACAGAATGGTGAAACCCTTTGAGTTGAACGCACACCTCACAAAGTAGTTTCTGAGAATCACTCTGTGTAGTTTTTTTATGAAGATATTGCCTTTTCAACGATAGGCCTCAAACGACGCTAAATATCCACTTGGAAGTTCTACAAAAAGAGTTTCAAAACTGCTCTATCGAAAGTAAGGTTCAACTCTGTGAGTTGAAAGCACACATCACAAAGAAGTTTCTGAGAATTCTTCTGTCTTGTTCTATATGAAGAAATCACGTTTCAAAAGAACGCCACAAAGAGGTCCAAATATTTAATTGCAGATTCTACAAAAAGAGTGTTTTAAAACTGCACTATCAAGAGGAATGTTCAACTCTGTGAGTTGAATGCAAATATCACAATGTAGTTTCTGACAATGCCTCTGTCTGGTTTTTATGTGAAGATATTTCCTTTTCTATGGTAGACCACGAAACGCTCGAACTATACACTTGGAAATTACACAAAAAGAGTGTTTCATAACTGCTCTATCAAAAGAAAGGTTAAATTCTGAAAGCTGTATGCATATTTCACAAACAAGTTTCTGATAATGATTCTGTCTTGTTTTTCTACGAAGATATTTCCATTTCTACCATAGGCTTCAAACCGCAATAAATATCCACATGGAAATTCTACAAAAAGAGTATTTCAAAACTGCTCTGTCGAAATGAAGGCTCAACTCTGTGACTTGAATGCAGATATCACCAAGAAGTTTCTGAGAATTCTTCCCTGAAGTTTTATTTGAAGAAATCCCATTTCCAAAGAAGGCCTAAAAAAAGTCCAAATATTCACTTGCAGATTCTACCAAAAGTGTGTTTCAAAACTGCTCTATCAAAAGAAACGTTAAACCCAGTGCATTGAATGCACACATCACAAAGTTGTTTCTGAGAATCATTCTGTCTAGTTTTTCTATGAAGATATTGCCTTTTCTACCATAGACCTCAAACGGCTCTAAGTATCCACTTGGAAATCCTACAAAAGGAGAGTTTCAAAGCTGCTCTATCGATAGAAAGATTCAACTCTGTGATTTGAAAGCATATATCACAAAGAAGTTTCTGAGAATTCTTCTGTCTAGTTTTATATGAAGAAATCACGTTTGAAACGAAGGCCACAAAGAGGTCCAAATATCCACTTGCAGATTCTAGAAAATGAGTGTTTCAATACTGCTCTATCAAGAGGAAAGTTCAACTCTGTGAGTTGAATGCAAACATCACAAAGTAGTTTCTGACAATTCTTCTGCCTAGTTTTTACCTGGAGATATTTCCTTTTCTACCATAGGCCTCAAAGCTCTCTAACTATACACTTACAAATTCCACAAAAGCAGTGTTTCAAAACTGCTCTATCAAAAGAAAGCTTAAACTCTGTTAGCTGAATGCACACATCACAAAGTAGTTTCTGAGAATTATTCCGTCTAGTTTTTCTAGGAAGATATTTCCTTTTTTACAATAGGCCTCAAACCGCTCTAAATATCCACTTGGAAATACTTCAAAAAGAGTATTTCAAAACTGATCTATCGAAAGGAAGGTTCAACTCTGTGAGTTGAATGCACAAGTCTCAAAGAAGTGTCTCTGAATTCTTCTGCCAAGTTTTATATGAAGAAATGACGTTTCCAACGAAGGCTCCAAAAAGTCCAAATACTTACTTGCAGATCCTACAAAAATAGTGTTTCCAATGTGCTCTATCAAGACGAATGTTCAACTCCATTAGTTGAACGCAAATATCACAAAGTAGTTTCTGACAATGCTTCTGTCTAGTTTTTAATTGAAGATATTTCCTTTTCTACTGTAGTCCTCAAACCTCTATAGATATGCACTTGCAAATACCAAAAAAAAGAGTGTTTCAAAACTGTTCTATCAAAAGAAAGTTTAAACTTTGTTAGCTGAATGCACACATCACAAAGTTGTTTCTGAGAATGATTTTGTCTAGTTTTTTTTTGAAGATAATTCCCTTTCTACCATAGGCCTCAAACCAGTCTAAATATCCACTGGGAAATAGTACAGAAAGAGTATTTCAAAATTGCTCTATTGAAAGGAAGGTTCAACTCTGTGAGTTGAAAGCACACATCGCAAAGAAACTTCTGAGAATTCTTCTGTAAGATTTATATCAAGAAATCCCGTTTCCAACCAAGGCCTCAAAAATGTCCAAATATTCACTTGCACATTCTACACAAAGAGTGTTTCAAAACTGCTCTGTCAAAAGAAAGTTAAAACTCAGTGAATAGAACTCACACATGAGAATATAGTTTCTGAGAATCATTCTGTCTAGTTTTTCTATGAAGATATTTCCTTTTCTACCATAGGCCTCAAGCGATGCTAAATAGCCACTTGGAAATTCTACAAAAACCGAGCTTCAAAACTGCTATATTGAAAGGATGTTTCAAATCTGTGAGTTGAAAGCACTCATCACAATGAAGTTTCTGAGAATTTTTCTGTCTAGTTTTATATGAAGAAATCACGTTTCAAACGAACGCCACAAAGAGGTCAATATATCCACTTGCAGATTCTACAAACAGAGTGTTTAAAGCTGCTCTATCAAAAAAAAAAAGGTTAAACTCTGTGAGTTGAACGCACACATTACAAAGTAGTTTCTGAGAACCATTCTTTCTAATTTTTCTATGAAGATATTGCCTTTTCAACCACAGGCCTCAAATGGCGCTAAATATCCACTTGGAAATCTACAAAAAGAGAGTTTTAAACTGATCTATCGAAAGGAAGGTTCAACTCTGGGAGTTGAATGCACACATCACAAAGAAGTTTCTGAGAATTCTTCTGTCAAGTTTTACATGAAGAAATCCCGTTTCCAACGAAGGCCTCAAAAAAGTCCAAATATTAATTTGCAGATCCTACAAAAATAGTGTTTCAAAACTGCTCTATCAAAAGGAATGTTCAACTCTGTGAGTTGAATGCAAATATCACAAAGTAGTTTCTGACAATGATTCTGTCTAGTTTTGTGAAGATATTTCCTTTCCTACTGTCGGCCTCAAAGCGCTCTAAATATACACTTGCAAATTCTACAAAAAGAGTCTTTGAAAACTTCTCTATCAAAGGAAAGTTTAAACCCAATAAGCTGAATGCACACATCACAAAGTAGTTTCTGAGAATGATTCTGTCAAGTTTTTCTATGAAGGTATTTCCTTTTCTACAATAGGCCTCAAAAGGCTCTAAATATCCAATTGGAAATTCTACAAAAAGATTATATCAAAACTGCTCTATCGAAAGGAAGCTTCAACTCTGTGAGTTGAATGCACAGATCACGAAGTATTTTCTGGGAATTCTTCTGTCAACTTTTATATGAAACAATCCCGTTTCCAACGAAGGCCTCAAAAAGTCCAAATATTTACTTGCAGATTCTACAAAAAGAGTGTTTCCAAACTGCTCAATCAAGACGAATGCTCAACTCTGTGAGTTGAAGTAAATGTCACAAAGTAGTTTCTGACAATGCATCTCTCTAGTTTTTATGTGAAGATATTCCCTTTCTACTGTAGGCCTCAAAGCACTCTAAATATACACTTGCAAATTCCACAAAAAGAGTGTTTCAAAACTGCTCTACCAAAAGAAAGTTTATACTCTGTCAGCTGAATGCACACATTACAAAGTAGTTTCTGAGAATGATTCTGTCTAATTTTTCTATGAAGATATTTCCTTTTCTACCACAGGCCTCAAACCGCTCTGAATATCCACTTGGAAATTCTACCAAAAGATTATTTCAAAACTGCTGTATTGAAATGAAGGTTCAACTCTGTGAGTTCAATGCACACATCACAAAGGAGTTTCTGAGAATTCTTCTGTCAAGTTTTATATGAAGAAATCCCCTTTCCAAAGAAGGCCTCAAAAAAGTCCATATATTCACTTGCAGATTCTACAAAACGAGTGTTTCAAAACTGCTCTATCAAAAGAAAGGTTAAACTCTGTGAGTTGAACGCACACATCACAAATTAGTTTCTGGAAATCATTCTGTCTAGTTTTTCTATGAAGATGATATTGCCTTTTCTACCATAGGCCTGAAACGGCGCTAAATATCCACTTCGAAATTCAACAAAAAGAGAGTTTCAAAACTTCTCTATTGAAAGGAAGGTTCAACTCTGTGAGTTTAAAGCACACATCACAAAGAAGTTTCTGAGAGTTCGTCTGTCTAGTTTTATATGAAGAAATCACGTTTCAAAAGAAGGCCGCAAACAGGCACAAATATCCACTTGCAGACTCTACAAAAAGAGTGTTTCAAAACTGTTCTATCAAGAGGAACGTTCAACTCTGTGAATTGAATGCAAAAATCACAAAGTAGTGTTTGACAATGTTTCTGTCTAGTTATTATGTGATGATATTTCCTTTTCTACCGTAGGCCTCACAGCATTCTAAATATACACTTGCAAATTCAACAGAAAGAGTGTTTCAAAACTGCTCTATCAAAAGAAATGTTAAACTCTGTAAGCTGAATGCACACATCAAAAATAAGTTTCTAGGAATGATTCTGTCCAGTTTTTCTATGAAGATATTTCCTTTTCTACCACAGACCTCAAACCGCTCAAAATATACAGTTGGAAATTTTACAAAAAGAGTAAATCAAAACTGCTCTATTGAAAAGAAGGTTCAAGTGTGAGTGTTGAATGCACACATCACAAAGAAGATTCTTAGAATTCTTCTCTCAAGTTTATATGAAGAAACCCGTTTCCAACGAAGGCCCCAAAAGAGTCCAAATATTCTCTTGCAGATACTACAAAAAGAGTGTTTCAAAATTGCTCTATCAAGAGGAACGTTCAACTCTGTGAGTGGAATGCAAATAGCACAAAGTAGTTTCTGACAATGCTTCTGTCTAATTTTTATGTGAAGATATTTCCTTTTCTACCCTAGGCCTCAAAGCGCTCTAAATATACACATGCACATTACAAAAAAAAATGTGTTTCAAAACTGCTCTATTGAAAGGAAGGTTCAACCCTGGGAGTTGAATGCACACATCATAAAGAAGTTTCTGAGAATTCTTATGTTATGTTTTATATGAAGAAAACCTGATTCCAACGAAGGTCTCAAAAAAGTCCAAATATTAATTTGCAGATTCTAAAGAAGGGTGTTTCAAAACTGCTCTATCAAGAGGAATTTTCAACACTGTGAGTTGAATGCAAATATCACAATGTAGTTTCTGAGAATCATTCTGACTAGTTTTTCTAAGAAGATATTCCCTTTTCTACCACAGGCCTCAAGCTGCGTTAAATATCCACTTGGAAATGCCACAGAAAGAGTTTCAAAACTGCTCTATTGAAAGGAAGGTTCAAACCTGTAAGTTGAATGCACACATTAGAAAGAAGTTTCTGAGAATTCTTCTGTCAAGTTTTAAATGAAGAAATCCTGTTTCCAACAAAGGCCTCAAGAGAGTCCGAATATTCACAAGCAGAATCTACAAAAAGAATGTTTCAAAACTGCTCTATCAATAGAAAGATTAAACTCTGTGAATAGATCGCACACATCATAAAGTAGTTTCTGAGAATCATTCTGTCTAGTTTTTCTATGAAGATATTGCCTTTTCCACTATAGGCCTCAAATGGCGCTAAATATCCACTTGGAAATTCTACAAAAACAGAGTTTCAAAACTGCTCTATCAAAAGGAAGACAACTCTGTGAGTTGAAAGCACACATCACAAATAAATTTCTGAGAATTCTTCTGTCAAGTTTTATATGAAGAAATCACGTTTCAAATGAAGGCCACAAAGAGTTCTAAATATCCACTTGCAGATTCTGCAAAAACAGTGTTTCAAAACTGCTCTATCAAAAGAAAGGTTTAACTCTGTGAGTTGAAAGCTCACATCACAATGTAGTATCTGAGAATCATTCTGTCTAGTTTTTCTATGAAAATATTTCCTTTTCTAACAGAGGCCTCAAACGGCTCTAAATATCCACTTGGAAATTCTACAAAAAGAGGGTTTGAAAACTGCTCTATCGAAAGGATGATTCAACTCTGTGAGTTCAAAGCATACATCACAAAATTTTCTGAGAATTCTGCTGTCTAGTTTTACATTAAGAAATCAAGTTTCAAACAAAGGCCACAAAGAGGTCCAAATATCCACTTGCAGGTTCTACAAAAAGAGTGTTTCAAAAATGCTCTATCAAGAGGAACTTTCAACTCTGTTAGTTGAATGCAAATATCACAAGGTAGTTTCTGACAATGTTTCTGTCTAGTTTTTATGCGAAGATATTTCCTTTTCTCCCATAGGCCACAAAGCAATCTAAATATATACTTGCAAATACCACAAAAATTTTGTTTCAAAACTGCTCTATCAAAGGAAAGGTTAAACTCTGTAAGCTGAATGCACACATCACAAAGTAGTTTCTGAGAAATATTCTGTCTAGTTTTTTTATGAAGATATTTCCTTTTCTACCACAGGCCTTTAACCGCAATAAATATCCATTTGGGAATACTACAAAAAGATTATTTCAAAACTGCTCTATCGAAAGGAAGGTTCATCTCTTGCAGTTGAATGCACACATCACAAAGAAGTTTCTGAGAATTCTTATGTCAAGTTTTATATGAAGAAACCCCCTTTCAAACGAAGACCTCAAAAAACCTAAATATCAATTTGCAGATTCTACAAAAAGATGTTTCAAAACTGCTCTATCAAGAGGAATGCGCAACTTTGTCAGTTGAAGGCAAGTATCACAAAGAAGTTTCTGACAATGCTTCTGCCTAATTTTTATGTGAAGATATTTCCTTTTCTACCATAGGCCTCAAACTGCTCTAAATATCCACTTGGAAATTCTACAAAAAGAGAGTTTCAAAACTGCTCTATCAAAAGAAAATTTAAACTCTGTAAACTGAAAGCACACATCACAAAGCAGTTTCTGAGAATGATTCTGTCTAGTTTTTGTATGAAGATATTTCCTTTTCTAACATAGGCCTCAAACTTCACTCAATGTTCACTTGGAAATTCTACAAAAAGAGAATTTCAAAACTCCTCTATCGAAAGGAAGGTTCAGCTCTGTGAGTTGAAAGCACACATCACAAAGAAGTTTCTGAGAATTTATATGTCTAGATTTACATGAAGAAATCACGTTTCAAAGGAAAGCCACAAAGAGGTCCAAATATCCACTTGTAGATTCTACAAAAAGAGTGTTTAAAACTGCTCTATAAAGAAGAATGTTCAACTCTGTGAGTTGAATTCAAATATCACAAGGTAGTTTCTGACAATGCTTCTGTCTAGTTTTTCTATGAAGTTATTGCTTTTCTACCATAGGCCTCTAAAAGCACTAAATATCCACTTGGAAATTCTACACAAAAAGTTTCAAAACTGCTCTATCTAAAGGAAAGTTCAATTTTGTGACTAGAATGCACACATCACAAAGAAGTTTCTGAGGATTCTTTAGTCACGTTTTATATGAAGAAATCCAGTTTCCAATGAAGGCCCCCAAAACTTCAAATATTCACTTGCAGATTCTACAAAAACAGATTTCAAAACTGCTCTATCAAAAGAAAGATTAAACTCTGTAAGCTGAATGCACACATCACCAAGTAGTTTCTGTAAATGATTCTGTCTAGTTTTTCTATGAAGATATTTCATATTCTACCACAGGCCTCAAAACGCTCTAAATATCCACTTGGACATACTACAAAAAGAGTATTTCAAAACTGCTCTAACAAAAGGAAGGTTCAATTCTGTGAGTTGGATGCACACATCACAAAGAAGTTTCTGAGAATTCTTCTGTCTAGTTTTATATGAAGAAATCACATTTCAAACGAAGGCCACAAAGAGGTCAAAATATCCACTCACAGATTCCAGAAAAAGAGTGTTTCAAAAATGCTCTATCAAGAGGAATGTTCAACTCTGTGAGTTGAATGCAAATATCATGAAGTAGTTTCTGACAATGCTTCTGTCTAGTTTTTATGTGAAGTTAATTCCTTTTCTACCTTAGGCCTCAAAGCGCTCTAATATACACTGGCAAATTCCACAAAAAGAGTGTTTCAAAACTGCTCTATCAAAAGAAATGTTAAACTCTGTAAGCTGAGTGCACACATCACAAAACAGTTTCTCAGAATGATTCTGTCTCGCTTTTCTATGAAGATATTTCTTTTTCTACCACAGGCCTCAAACAGCTCGAAATATCCATTTGGAAATTCTACCAAAAGACTACTTCAAAACTGCTCTATCGAAAGGAATTCTCAACTCTGTGAGTTGAATGAACATATCACAAGGAAGTTAATGATAATTCTTCTGTCACCTTTTATATGAAGAATTCCCGTTTCCAATGAAGGAACCCAGAAAGTCCAAATATTCACATGCAGATTCTACAAAAACAGTGTTTCAAAACTGCTCTATCAAAAGAAAGATTAAACTCTGAAAGCTGAATGCAAACATCACAAAGCAGTTTCTGTGAATGATTCTGTCCAGTTTTTCTATGAAGATATTTCCTTTTCTACCACAGGCCTCAAACAGCTATAAATAACCATTTGGAAATTCTACAAAAAGAGTATTTCAAAACTGCTCTGCTGAAAGGAAGGTTCAATTCTGTCAGCTGAATGCACACATCACAAAGAAGTTTCTGAGAATTCTTCTGTCACGATTTATGTGAAGAATTCCCGTTTCCAACGAAGGCCCCCAAAAACTCCAAATATTCACTTGCAGATTCTACAAAAACATTGTTTCAAAACTGCTCTATCAAAAGAAAGATTCCACTCTGTGAGTTGAACGCACACAGCACAATGTAGTTTCTGAGAATCATTCTGTCTAATATTTCTATGAAGACATTGCCTTTTCTACCACTGGCCTCAAAAGGCGCTAAATATCCACTTGGAAATTCTACAAAAAGAGAGTTTCAGAACTGCTCTATCGAAAGGAAGATACAACTCTGTGACTTGAATGCACATATCACAAACAAGTTTCGGAGAATTCTTCTGTCGAGATTGATATGAAGAAATTACGTTCAAAACGAAGGCCCCAAAGAAGTCCAAATATCCACTTGCAGACTCCACAAAAAGAGTGTTTCAAAACTGCTCTATCAAGAGGAATGTTCAACTCGGTGAGTTGAATGCAAATATCACAAAGTAGTTTCTGACAATGCTTCTGTCTAGTTTTTATGTGAAGATATTTCCTTTTCTACAGTTGGCTTCAAAGTGCTCTAAATATTCACTTGCAAATTCCACAAAAAGACTGTTTCAAAACTGCTCTATCAAACGAAAGGTTAAACTCTGTAAGCTGAATGCACACATCACAAAGTAGTTTCTGAGAATGATTCTGTCTAGTTTTTCTATGAAGATATTTCCTTTTCTACCACAGGCCTCAAACTGCTCTAAATATCCACTTGGAAATTATACAAAAAGAGCATTTCAAAATTGCTGTATTGAAAGGAACGTTCAACTCAGTCAACTGAATGCACACATCACAAAGAAGTTTCTGAGAATTCTTCTGTAAAGTTTGACATGCAGAAATACCGTTTCCAACGAAGGCCTCAAAAAAGTCCAAATATTCATTTTTAGATTCTACAAAAACAGTGTTTCAAAACTGCTCTATCTAAAGGAAGGTTAAATTCTGTGAGTTGAAAGCACATAACATAAAGTAATTTCTGAGAATCACTCTGTCTGGTTTTTCTGTGAAGATGTTGCCTTTTCTACCACAGGCCTCAAACGGCGCTAAATGTCCACTTGAAAATTCTACAACAAGAGTGTTTCAACGCTGCTCTATCGAAAGAAAGTTTCAACTCTGTGAGTTGAAAGCACATATCACAAAGAAGTTTCTGAGAATTCTTCTGCCTAGGTTTATATGAATAAATCACGTTTCAAAGGAAGGCCACAAAAAGGTCCAAATATCCACTTGTAGATTCTAGAAAAAGAGTGTTTCGGAACTGCCCTATCAAGAGGAATGTTCAACTAGGTGAGTTGAATACAAATATCACAATGTAGTTTCTGACAATGTTTCTGTCTTGTTTTTATGTGAAGATATTTCCTTTCTAACCGTAGGCCTCAAAGCGCTCTAAATATACACTTGCAAATTCCACAAAAAGAGTGTTTCAAAACTGCTCTAACAAAAGAAAGGTTAAACTCTGTAAGCTGAATGCACACATCACAGGTAGTTTCTGAGAAAGATTCTGTCTGGTTTTTCAGAAGATATTTCCATTTCTGCAACAGACCTCAAACCAGTCTAAATATCGACTTTTAAATTGTACAAAAAGAGTATTTCAAAACTACTCTATCGAAAGGAAGGTTCAAATCCGTCAGTTGAATGCACACAACACAAAGAAGTTTCTGAGAATTCTTCTGTCTAGTTTTATATGAAGAAATCCCGTTTCCAAAGAAGGTCTCAAAAAAGTCCTAATATTCAATTGCAGATTCTACAAAAAGAGTGTTTCAAAACTGCTCTATCATAAGAAAGTTTAAACTCTGTGAGTCAAACACACACATCACAAAGTAGTTTCTGAAAATCATTCTGTCTAGTTTTTCTATGAAGATATTGCATTTTCTACCATAGGCCTCAAACGACACTAAATATCTACTTGAAAATTCTACAAAAAGAGAGTTTCAAAACTGCTCTACCGAAAGGAAGGTTCAACTCGGTGAGTTGAAAGAACACATCACAAAGTAGTTTCTGAGAATTCTTCTTTCTAGTTTTACATGAAGAATTAACGTGTCAAAAAAGACCCACAAAGAGGTCCAAATATCCACTTGCAGATTCTTCAAAAAGAGTGTTTCAAAACTGCTCTATCAAGAGGAATGTTCAACTCTGTGAGTTGAATGCAAATATCACAAAGTAGTTTCTGACAATGCTTCTTTCTATCATTTATATGAAGGTATTTCCTTTTCTAAAGTAGGCCTCAAAGCGCTCTAAATATACAGTTGCAAATTCCACAAAAAGAGTTTTTCAAAACTGCTCTATCAAAGGAAAGGTTAAACTCCGTAAGCTGAGTGCACACACCACAAAGCAGTTTGTGACAATGAATCGGACTAGTTTTTCTATGAAGATATTTCCTTTTCTACCATAGGCCTCAAACCGCTTTGAATATCCACATAGACATTCTACAAAAAGAGTATTTGAAAACTGCTCTATCGAAAGGAAGGTTCAACACTGTGGTTTGAATGCACACATCACAAAGAAGGTTCTGAGAGTTCTTCAGTCATTATTTATAGGAAGATGTCCCGTTTCCAATAAAGTCCCCAAAAAAGTCTGAATATTCACTGGCAGATTCTACAAAAACATTGTTTCAAAACTGCTCTATCAAAAGAAAGGTTAAACTCTGTGAGTTGAACGCAGACATCACAAAGTAGTTTCTGAGAATTATTCTGTCTAATTTTTCTATGAACATATTGCCTTTACTAACATAGGCCTCAAACGGCGCTAAATATCCACTTGGAAATACTACAAAAAGAGAGTCTCAAAACTCCTCTATTGAAGGGAAGGTTCAACTCTGTGAGTTGAAAGCACACTTCACAAAGAAGTTTCTGAGAATTATTCTGTCTAGTTTTATATGAAGAAATCACGTTTCAAACGAAGGCCACAAAGAGGTCCAAATACCCTCTCATAGATTATACAAAAAGAGTGTTTCAAAACTGCTCTATCAAGAGGAATGTTCAACTCTGTGAGTTGAATGCAAATATCATAAAGTAGTTTCTGACAATGCTTCTTCCTAGTTTTTATGTGAAGATACTTCTTTTTCTTCCCTAGGCCTCAAAGCTCTTTAAATATACACAGGCAAATACAACAAAAAAAGTGTTTCAAAGCTGCTCTATCAAAAGAAAGGGTAAACTCTGTAAGCTGAATGCACACATCACAAAGAAGTTTCATAGAATGATTCTGTCTCGTTTTTGAAAAAAAGATATCTCCTTTCCTTCCACAAGCTTCAAACTGCTCTAAATATCCACTTGGAAATTCCACAAGAAGATTATTTCAAAACTGCTCTATCGAAAGGAAGGTTCAATTCCATGAGTTGAATGCACACAACACAAAGAAGTTTCTGAGAATTCTTCTGTCACGTTTTATATGAAGAAATCACGTTTGCAACGAAGGCCCCCCAAAATCCCAACTATTCACTTGCAGATTCTACAAAAAGAGTGTTTCAAAATTGCTCTATCAAAAGAAAGGTTAAACTCTGTGAGTTCAACGCACACACCACAAAGTAGTTTCTGAGAATCATTCTGTCAAATTTTTCTACGAAGAAATTTAATTTTATACCACAGGCATCAAAGGACTCTTTATATCCACTTGGAAATTGTACAAAAAGAGAGTTTCAAAGCTGCTCTATCGAAAGGAAGGTTCAACTCTGTGAGTTGAAAGCACACGTCACAAAGAAGTTTCTCATTATTCTTCTGTCTAGTTTTATATGAAAAAATCATGTTTCAAACGAAGGCCACAAAGAGGTCCAAATATCCACTTGCAGATTCTGCAAAAAGAGTGTTACAAAACTGCTCATCTAAAGAAATGTTAAACTCTGTAAGCTGAACGCACACATCACAAAGTAGTTTCTGAGAATGATTCTGTCCAGTTTTTCTATGAAGATATTTCCTTTTCTACCGCTGGCCTCAAACCGCTCTAAATATCCACTTGGAAATTCTACCAAAAGAGTATTTCGCAACCATTCTATCGAAAGGAAGGTTGAACTCTGTGACTTGAATGCACACATCAGAAAGAAGTTTCTGAGAATGATTCTGTCCAGTTTTTCTATGAAGATATTTCCTTTTCTACCGCTGGCCTCAAACCGCTCTAAATATCCACTTGGAAATTCTACCAAAAGAGTATTTCGCAACCATTCTATCGAAAGGAAGGTTGAACTCTGTGACTTGAATGCACACATCAGAAAGAAGTTTCTGAGAATTCTTCTGTCAAATTTTATATGAAGAAATACCGTTTCCAACGAAGGCCTCAAAAAAGTCCAAATATTCACTTGCGGATTATACACAAAGACTGTTTCAATACTGCTCTACCAAAAGAAAGGTTAAAGTCTGTGAGTTGAACGCACATATCACAAAGAAGTTTCTGAGAATCATTCTGTCTAGTTTTTCAGTGAAGATATTACCTGTTCTAACATAAGCCTCAAACGGCGCTAAATATCCACTTGGAAATACTACAAAAGGAGGGTTTCAAAACTGCTCTACGAAAGGAAGGTTGAACTCTGTGATTTGAAAGCACACATCACAAAGAAGTTTCTGAGAATTCTTCCGTCTACTTTTATATGAAGATATCACTTTTCAAACGAAGGCCACAAGGAGGTACAAATATACAATTGCAGATTCTACAAAAAGAGTGTTTCACAAATGCTCTATCAAGAGGAATGTTCAACTATGTGAGTTGAATGCAAATATCACAATGAAGTTCCTGACAATGCTTCTATCTAGTTTTTATGTGAAGATATTTCCTTTTCTTCGGTATGCCTCAAAGTGCTCTAAATAAACATTTGCAAACTCCACAAAAAGACTGTTTCAAAACTGCTCTATCAAAAGAAATTTTAAACTCTGTAAGCTTAATTAACACATCTCAAAGTAGTTTCTGAGAATGATTCTGTATAGTTTTTCTATGAAGATATTTCCTTTTCTACCACAGGCCTCAAACCGCTCTAAATATCCACTTGGAAATTCTACAAAAAGAGTATTTCAGAACTGCTCTATTGAAAGGAAGGTTCAAAACTGTGAGTTGAATGCACAAATCACAAAGAAGTTTCTGAGAATTCTTCTGTCATATTTTATATGAAGAAATCCCGTTTCCAATGAAGGCCTCAAAAAGGTCCAAATATTCACTTGCAGATTCTACAAAAAGACTGTTTCAATACTGCTGTACCAAAAGAAAGGTTAAAGTCTGTGAGTTGAACGCACACATCACAAAGAAGTTTCTGAGAATCATTCTGTCTAGCTTTTCAATGAGGATATTTCCTGTTCTACAATATGCCTCAAATGACGCTAAATATCCACGTGGAAATACTACAAAAGGAGAGTTTCAAAACTGCTCTACGAAAGGAGGGTTTAACTCTGTGATTTGAAAGCACACATCACAAAGAAGTTTCTGAGAATTCTTCTGTCTAGTTTTATATGAAGAAATCACGTTTCAAACGAAGGCCAGAAAGAGGTCCAAATACCCTCTCTCAGCTTCTACAAAAAGAGTGTTTCAAAACTGCTCTATCAAGAGGAATGTTCAACTCGTGAGTTGAATGCAAATATCACAAAGTACTTTCTGACATTTTTTCTGTCTAGTTTTTAGGTGAAGATATTTCCTTTTCTACCTCAGGACTCAAAGCGCTCTAAATATGCACTTGCAAATTCTACAAAAAGAGTTTTACAAAACTGCTCTGTCAAAAGAAAAGTTAAACTCCGTAAGCTGAATGCACACATCACAAAGTAATTTCTGAGAATGATTCTGTATAGTTTTTCTAGGAAGATATTTCGTTTTCTACCACTGGCCACACACTGCTCTAAATAGACCCTTGGAAATTCTACAAAAAGAGTATTTCACAACTGCTCTATCAAAAGGAAGGTTCAACTCTGTGAGTTAAATGCACACATCACGAAGAAGTTTCTGAGAATTCTTCTGTCAAGATTTACATGAAGAAATTCCGTTTCCAAGGAAGGCTTCAAAATGTCCAAATATTCACTTGCAGATTCTATAAAAAGACTGTTTCAAAACTTATCTATCAAAAGAAATATTGAACTCTGTGAGTTTAACCCACACAGCATAAAGTAGTTTCTGAGAATGATTCTGTCTAGTTTTTCTATGAAGATATTTAATATTCTGTAGGCCTCAAAGCGCTCTAAATTTACACTTGCAAGTTCTGCAAAAAGAGTGTTACAAAACTGCTCATCTAAAGAAATGTTAAACTCTGTAAGCTGAACGCACACATCACAAAGAAGTTTCTGAGAATTATTCTGTCACGTTTTATATGAAGAAATCTCGTTTCCAAAGAAGGCCTCCCAAAATTGCAAATATTCACTTGCAGATTCTGCAAAAAGTGTGTTTCAAAACTGCTCTATCAAAAGAAAGGTTAAACTCTGTGAGTTGAACACACACATCACAAAGTAGTTTCTGAGAATCATTCTGTCTGTTTTCTATGAAGATATTGCCTTTTCTACAATAGGCCTCAAACGGCGCTAAATATCCCCTTGGAAATTCAACAAAGAGAGAGTTTCAAAAATCCTCTATCAAAAGGAAGGTTCAATTCTGTGAGTTGAAAGCACATATCACAAAGAAGTTTCTGAGAATTTTTCTCTCTACTTTTATATTAAGAAATCACGTTTCAAACGAAGGCCAGAAAGAGGTCCAAATACACTCTCTCAGCTTCTACAAAAAGAGTGTTTCAAAACTGCTCTATCAAGAGTAATTTACAACTCTGTGAGTTGAATGCAAATATCACAAATCAGTTTCCAAAAATGCTTCTGTATAGTTTTTATGTGAAGATATTTCCTTTTCTACAGTAGGCCTCAAAGCGCTCTAAATATACAACCGCAAATACCACAAAAAGTTTGTTTCAAAATTTCTCTATCAGAAGAAATTTTAAACTCTGTAAGCTGAATGCACACATCACAAAGTAGTTTCTGAGAATGATTTTGTTTAGTTTTTCTATGAAGATATTTCCTTTTCTACCACCGACCTCAAACCACTGTAAATATCCACTGGGAAATTCTACAAAAAGAGTATTTCAAGACTGCTCTATCGAAAGGAAGGTTCAACACTTTGAGTTGAATGCACACATCACAAAGAAGTTTCTGAGAATTATTCTGTCAAGTTTTATATGAAGAGATCCCATTTCCAACGAAGGCCACAAAAAAGTCCAAATATTCACTTGCAGATTCTACAAAAACCGTGTTTCAAAACTGCTCTATCAAAAGAAAGGTTAAACTCTGTAAGCTGAATTCACACATTACAACGTTGTTTCAGAGAATTATTCTGTCTTGTTTTTCTATGAAGATATGTCCTTTTATACCAAAGGCCTCAAACCACTCTAAATATCAACCTGGAAATTCTAAAAAAAGAGTATTTCAAAACTGCTCTATCGAAAGAAGGTTTAACTCTGTGAGTTGAATGCACACATCACAACGAAGTTTCTGATAATTCTTCTGTCAAGTTATAATGGAAGAAATCCCGTTTCCTACGAAGGCCCCAAAAAAGGCCAAATACTCACCTGCCCATTATATAAAAAGGGTGTTTGAAAACTGCTCAATCAAAATAAAGGTTAAACTCTGTGAGTTTAATCCACACATCACAATGTAGTTTCTGGGAATCATTCTGTCTAGTTTTTCTACGAAGGTATTTCCTTTTCTACCATAGGCCTCAAACGTCGCTAAATATACTCTTGGAAATTCTACAAAAAGAGAGTTTCAAAACTGCTCCATCCAAAGGAAGGTTCAACTCGTTGAGTTGAAAGAACACATCACGAAGAAGTTTCTGAGAATTCTTCTGTCTAGATTTATATGAAGAAATCACATTTAAAACGAAGGCCGCAAAGAGGTTCAAATATCCGCTGGCCGATTCTACAAAAAGAGTGTTTCAAAACTGCTCTGTCAAAGGAAAGGTTAAACTCTGTGAGTTGAACACTCACCTCACAAAGTAGTTTCTGATAATCATTCTGTCTAGTTTTACTGTGAAGATATTTCCTTTTCTGCCATAGGCCTCAAACTGTGCTAAATATCCACTTGGAAATAGTACAAAAAGAGTATTTCAGAACTGCTGTATCGAAAGGAAGGTTCAACTCTCTCAGTTGAATGCACACATCACAAAGAAGTTTCTGAGAATTCTTCTGTCAAGTTTTATATAAAGAAATCCCATTTCCAACGAAGACCTCAAGAAAGTCCAGATATTCCCTTGCAGATTCTACAAAAAGAGTGTTTTAAAACTGCGCTATCAAAACAAAGGTTAAACTCTGTGAGTTGAACACACACATCACAAAGTACTTTCTGAGAATCATTCTGTCTAGTTATTTATGAAGATATTGCCTTTTCTACTGTAGGCCTCAAACGACGTTTAATATCCACTTGGAAACTCTACAAAAATAGAGTTTCAAACTGCTCGATTGAAAGGAAGGTTCAACTCTGTGACTTGAAAGCACACATTACAAAGAATTTTCTGAGAATTCTTCCGTCTAGTTTTATGTGAAGAATTCGCGTTTCAAACGAAGACCACAAAGAGGTCCCAATATCAACTTGCAGTTTCTAAAAAAAGAGTGTTTCAAACTGCTCTATCAAAAGGAAGGTTCAAATCTGTTAGTTGAATGCACACATGAAAAAGAAGTTTCTTAGAATTCTTCTGACAAGTTTTATATGAAGAAATCCCGTTTCCAACGAAGGCCTGAAAAAATTCCAAATATTCACTTGCAGATTCTACAAAAAGTGTTTCAAAACTGCTCTATCAAAAGGAAGGTTAAACTTTGTGAGTTAAAAGCACACATCACAAAGTAGTTTCTGAGAATCATTCTGTCTAGTTTTTCTAAGAGGATATTTCCTTTTCTACCATAGGCCTCAAACGACGTTAAAAATATCCGTTTGGAAATACTACAAAAGAGTATTTCAAAACTGCTGTATCGAAAGGAAAGTTCAGCTCTGTGAGTTGAATGCACACATCTCAAAGAAGTTTCTAAGAATTGTTCTGTCTAGTTTTATATGAGGAAATCACTTTTCAAACGAACGCCACAAAGAGGTCCAAATATCCACTTGCAGATTTTACAAAAAGAGTGTTTCAAAACTGCTCCATGAAGAGGAGTGTTCAACTCTGTGAGTTGAATGCAAATATCACAAAGTACTTTCTGACAATGCTTCTGTCTACTTATTATGTGAAGATATTTCCTTTTCTATCGTTGGCCTCAAAGTACTCTAAATATACACTTGAAAATTCCACAAAAAGAGAGTTTCAGCACTGCTGTATCAAAAGATTGGTTAAACTCTGAAAGCTGAATATGACTCTCAAAGCGCTCTAAATATACACTTGCAAATTCCACAAAAAGAGTGTTTCAAAACTGCTATATCAAAAGAAGTGTTAATCTCTGTGAGTTGAACGCACACATCACGAAGCAGTTTCTGAGAATCATTCTGTCTAGTTTTTCTATGAAGATATTGCCTTTTCTACCATAGACCTCAAACGGCGCTACATATCCACATTGAAATTCTACAAGAAGAGTTTTTCAAAAATGCTCTATAAAAAGGAAGGTTAAACTTTGTAAGCTAAATGCACACATCACAAATTAATTTCTGAGAATGATTCTCTCTAGTTTTTCTATGAAGATATTCCCTTTTCTACCACAGGTCTCAACCAGCTCTAAATTTCTACTTGGAAATCCTACAAAAAGAGTATTTTGAAACTGCTCTATCGAAAGGAAGGTTCAACTCTGTGAGTTAAATTGACATATCACTAAGTAGTTTCTGAGAATTCTTCTGTCACGTTTTATATGAAGAAATCCCCTTTCCAAAAAGGCCTCAAAAAAGTCCAAATATTCACTTGCAGATTCTACAAAAAGAGTGTTTCAAAACTGCTCTATCAAAAGAAAAGTTAAACACTGGGAGTTGAACACACACATCACAAAGCAGTTTCTGAGAATCATTCTGTCTAATTTTTCTGTGAATATATTGCCTTTTCTACCATAGGCATCAAAAGGCGCTAAATATCCTCTTGGAAATTCTACAAAAAGAGAGTTACAAAACTGCTCTATCGAAAGGAAGGTTTAACATTGTGAGTTGAAAGCACACATCTCAAAGAAGTTTCTGAGAATTCTTCTGCCTAGTTTTATATGAAGAAATCACGTTTCAAAAGAAGGCCACAAAGAAGTCCAAATATCCACTTGCAGATAATACATAAAGAGTGTTTCAAAACTGCTCTATAAAGAGGAATGTTCAACTCCGTGAGTTGAATGCAAAGATACAAATTATTTTTTGACAATTCTTCTGTCTAATTTTTATGTGAGGATATATCCTTTTCTACCGTATGCCTCAAAGCGCTCTAAATATACACTTGCAAATTCCACAAAAAGAGTGTTTCAAAACTGCTCTATCAAAAGAAAGGTTAAACTCTGTAAGCTGAATGCAAACTTCACAAAGTAGTTTCTGAGAATGATTCTGTCTAGTTTTTCTATGAAGATATTTCCTTTTCTACCATAGGCCCCAAACAGCTCTAAATATCCACTTGGAAATACTAAAAGAAGAGAATTTCAAAACTGTTCTATAGAAAGGAAGGTTCAAACATTTGAGTTGAATGCACATTTCACAAAGAATTTTCTGAGAATTCTTCTGTCAAGTTTATATGAAGAAATCCCGTTTCCAAAGAAGGCCTAAAAAAAGTCCAAATATTCACTTGTAAATTCGGCAAAAAGAGTGTTTCAAAGCTACTCTATCAAAAGAAAGGTTAAACTCTGTGACTTGAACGCACACATCACAAAGTAGATTCTGAGAATAATTCTGTCTAGTTTTTCTATGAAGTTATTTGCTTTTAAACCATAGGCCTCAAACGGCGCTGAATATCCACTTGGAAATTCTACAAAAAGAGAGTTTCAAAACTGCCCTGTCGAAAGGAAGGTTCAACTATGTGAGTTGAAAGCATACATCACAAATATGTTTCTGAGACTTCTTCTGTATCGTTTTATAAGAAGAAATCACGTTTCAAACGAAGGCCACAAAGAGGTCCAAATATCCACCTGGAGATTCTACAAAAAGAGTGTTTCAAAACTGCTCTATCAAGAGGAATGTTCAACTCTGTAAATTGAATGCAAATATCATAAAGTAGTTTCTGACAATGCTTCTGTCTAGTTTTTATGTGAAGATATTTCCTTTTATACGGTAGGCCTCAAAGCGCTCAATATATACACTTGCGCATTCCCCAAAAGATTGTTTCAAAACTGCTCTATGAAAAGGAAGGCTAACTTCTGTAAGCTGAATGCACACATCAAAAATAGTTTCTGAGAATGATTCTGTCTAGTTTTTCTATGAAACTATTTCCTTTTCTAGCATAGGCCTCAAACCGCTCTAAATATCCAGTTGGAAATTCTACAAAAAGAGAATTTCAAAACTGCCCTATCGAAAGGAAGATTCAACTCTGTGAGTTGAAAGCACACATCACAGAGAAGTTTCTGAGAGTTCTTCTGTCAAGTTTTATATGAAGAAATCCAATTTCCAACGAAGGCCTCAAAAAAGTTCAAATATTCACTTGCAGATCCTACAAAAAGAGTGTTTCAAAACTGCTCTATCCAAAGAAAGGTTAAACTCTGTGAGTTGAACGCACACACCACAAAGTAGTTTCTGAGAATCATTCTGTCTAGTTTTTCTATGAAGATATTGCCTTTTCTACCTTAGGCCTCAAACGGCTCTAAATGCCACCTGAAAATTCTACAAAAAGAGAATTTCAAAACTGCTTTATCGAAAGGAAGGTTCAAATCAGTGAGTTGTATGCACATATCACAAAGAATTTTCTGAGAATTCTAATGTCAAATTTTATATGAAGAAATCCTGTTTCCAAAGAAAGCTTCAAAAAAGTCCAAATATTCACTTGCAGATTCTACAAAAAGAGTGTTTCAAAACTGCTCTATCAAAAGAAAGGTTAAACTCTTTGAATTTAACACACACACCACAAAGTAATTTCTGAGAATCATTCTGTCTAGTTTTCCTATGAAGATATTACCTGTTCTACCATAGGCCTCAAAAGGAGCTAAATATCCACTTGGAAATTCTATAAAAAGAGAGTTTCAAAACCGCTCTATCGATAGGAAGGTTCAACTCTGTGAGTTGAAAGCACACATCACATGGAAGTTTCTGAGAATTCTTCTGTCAATTTTTATTTGAAGAAATTCCGTTTCCAACTAAGGCATCAAAAAGTCCAAATATTCACTTGGAGATACTACAAAAGGTAATGCCTTTTTTACAATAGGCCTCAAAGGGCGCCAAATATCCATTTGAAAATTCTAAAAAAAAGAGAGTTTCAAAACTGCTCTATCAAAAGGCAGTTTCAACTCTGTGAGTTGAAAGCAGACATCACAAAGATGTTTCTGAGAATTCTTCTGTCTAGTTTTAAATGAAGAAATCACATTACGAACGATGGCCACAAACAGTTTGAAATATCCACCTGCAGATTCTACAAAAAGAGAGTTTCAAAACCGCTCTATCAAAAGAAAGGTTACACTCTGTGAGTTGAACGGACACCACACAAAGTCGTTTCTGAGAATCATTCTGTCTTGTTTTTCTATGAAGATATCGCCTTTTCTATTATAGGCTTCAAACGGCGCTAAATATCCACTTGGAAATTCTACAAAAAGAGAGTTTAAAACTGCTCTATCGAAAGGAAGGTTCAACTCTGTGAGTTGAAAGCACACATCACAAGGGAGCTTCTGAGAATTCTTCTGTCTAGTTTTATATGATGAAATCTCGTTTCAAACGAAGGCCACAAAGACGTCTGCATGTCCACTCACAGATTCCACAAAAATAGTGTTTCAAAACTGCTCTATCAAGAGGAATGTTCAATTCTGTGAGTTGAGTGCAAATATCACAAATTAATTTCTGACAATGCTTCTGTCTAGTTTTTATGTGAAGATATTTCCTTTTCTACCGTAGGTCTCAAACCGCTCTAAATATACACTTGCGAATTGCAAAAAAAAAGTGTTTCAAATCTGCTCTATCAAAATAAACGTTAAACTCTGTAAGCTGAATGCACATATCACAAAGTAGTTTCTGAGAATGATTCTGTCTACTTTTTCTATGAAGATATTTCCTTTTGTACCACAGGCCTCAAACAGCTGTAAATATCCACTTGGAAATTATACAAAAAGAGTATTTCAAAACTGCTGAATCGAAAGGCAGGTTCAACTCTGTGAGTTGAATGCACACATCACAAGGAAGTTTCTGAGAATTCATCTGTCAAGCTTTATATGAAGAAATCCGGTTTCCAACGAAGACTCCCAAAAAGTCCAAATAGTCACTTGCAGATTCTACAAAAAGAGTGTTTCAAAACTGCTCTATCAAAAGAAACGTTAAATTCTGTGAGTTGAATGCACACATCACAAAGTAGTTTCTGAGAATCATTCTGTCTAGTTTTTCTATGAAGATATTGCCTTTTCTACCATAGGCCTCAAACGGCGCTACATATCCACTTGGAAATACTACAAAAAGAGAGTTTCAAAACTGCTCTATCGAAAGGAAGTTTCAACTCTGTGTGTTGAAAGCACACATCACAAAGAAGTTTCTGAGAATTCTTCTGTCTAGTTTTATATGAAGAAACATCGTTTCAAACGAAGGCCACAAAGAGGTCCAAATATCCATTTGCAGATTCTACACAAAGAGTGTTTCAAAGCTGCACTATCAAGAGGAATGTTCAACTTTGTGAGTTGAATGCAAATATCACCAAATAGTTTCTGACAATGCTTCTGTCTTGTTTTTATGTGAAGATATTTCCTTTTCTACTGTAGGACTCAAAGCGCTCTAAATATACAACTGCAAATTCCTGAAAAAACTGTTTCAAAACTGCTCTATCAAAAGAAAGGGTAAACTCTGTTAGCTGAATGCACACATCACCAAGTAGTTTCTGACCATGATTCTGTCTAATTTTTATATGAAGATATTTTCTTTTCTACTACAGATCTCAAACCGCTCTAAATATCCATTTGGAAATTCTACAAAAAAAGTATTTCAAAACTGCTCTATCGAAAGGTAGGTTGAACTCTCTGAGTTGAATGCACACATCACAAAGTAGTTTCTGAGAATTTTTCTGTCACGTTTTATATGAAGAAACCACGTTTCAAATTAAAGCCCCACAAACGTCAAAATATTCAATGGCTGATCCTACAAAAAGAGTTTTTCAAAACTACTCTATCAAGGGGAATGTTCTTCCTTGTGAGTTGAATGCAAATATCACCTACTAGTTTCTGAAAATGCTTCTGTCTAGTTTCAATGTGAAGATAATTCCTTCTGTACGGCAGACCTCAAAGCGCTCCAAATATACACTTGCAAATTCCACAAAAAGAGAGATTAAAAACCGCTCTGTCAAAAGAAAGGTTAAACTCCCTGAATTAAACGCATACATCACCAAGTAGTTTCTGAGAATCACTCTGTCTAGTTTTTCTATGAAGATGTTGCCTTTTCTACCATAGTCCTCAAACGACACTAAAAATCCACTTGGAAATTCTGTCATTTGAAGGCAAATATCACGAAGCAGTTTCTGAAAATGCCTCTGTCTAGTTTTTATGGTAAGATATTTCCTTTTCTACACTAGACCTCAAAGCGTTCCAAATATACACTTGCAAATTCTACGAAAAGAGTGTTTCAAAACTGCTCTATGAAAAGAAAGGTTAAACTCCCTAAACTAAAGGCACACATCACAAAGTAGTTTCAGAGAATGATTCTGTCTACTTTTGATATCAACATATTTCCTTTTCTACCGTGGGCCTCAAACCGCTCTAAATATCCACTTGAAAATCCTGCAAAAAGAGTATTTCAAAACTGCACTATGGAAAGAAACGTTCAATTCTGTGAGTTGAATGCGCATATCACAGAGATGATTCTGAGAGTTCTTCTGTCAGGTTTATATGAAGTAATTCCCTTTCAAAAGAAGGCCTCATAAAAGTCCAAATATTCACTTGCAGATTCTACAAATAGAGTGTGTCAAAAGTGCTCTATCAAAAGAAAGGTTAAACTCTGTGAGCTCAACGTAAACATCACAAACCAGTTTCTGAGAATCACTCTGTCTAGTTTTTCTATGAAGATATTGCCTTTTCTACCATAGGCCTCAAACAGCAATAAAAATCAACTTGGAAATTCTGTCAGTTTAATGCAAATATCACAAAGTAGTTTCTGACAATGCTTCTGTATAGTTTTTATGTGAAGATATTTCCTTTTCTACACTAGCCCTCAATGCTTTCCAATTATACACTAGGAAAGTCTACAAAAAGAGTGTTTCAAAACTGCTCTATCAAGAGAAAGGTTAAATTCTGTAAGCTGAATGCACACACCACAATGTAGTTTCTGAGAATGATTCTCTCTAGTTTTTCTATGAAGATATTCCCTTTTCTTCCATAGGCCTCAAACTGCTCTAAATATCCACTTGGAATTTCTACAAAAAGAGTATTTCAAAACTGTTCTATCGAAAGGAACGTTCAACTCTGTGAGTTGAATGCACACATCACAAAGAAGTTTCTGAGAATTCTTCTGTCACGTTTTATATGAAGAAATCCCGTTTCCAACGAAGGACCCCCAAAAATCCAAATATTCACTTGCAGATTCTACCAAAAGGAGTTTCAAAATTACTCTATCAAAAGAAAGGTTAAACTCTGTGAGTAGAACGCAAACATCACAAAGAAGTTTCTTAGAATCATTCTGTCAAGTTTTTCTACCAAGATATTGCCTTTTCTACCATAGGCCTCAAACAGCCCTAAATATACACTTTGAAATTCTACAAAAAGAGAGTTTCAAAACTGCTGTATCAAAAGGAAGGTGCAACTCTGTGAGTTGAAAGCACACATGACAAAGAAGTTTCTGAGAATTCTTCTGTTAAGTTTTATATGAAGAAATCACGTTTCAAACGAAGTCCACAAAGAGGTCCAATTATCCACTTGCAGATTATCCAAAAGAGTGTTTCAAAACTGCTCTATGAAAAGAAAGGTTAAACTCCCTTAGCTGAATGCACACATCACAAACTAGTTTCATAGGATGATTCTGTCTAATTTTTCTATGAAGATATTACGTTTTCTACCATAGGCCTCAAACGGCTCTTAATATCCACTTCGAAATTCTACAAAAAGATTACTTCAAACCTGCTGTATTGAAAGGAAGGTTCAACTCTGTGAGGTGAATGCACACATCACAAAAGAGTTTCTGAGAGTTCTTCTGTAAGGTTTTATATGAAGAAATCCCGTTTCCAAAGGCCTCAAAAAAGTCCAAATATTCACTTGCAGATTCTACAAAGAGAGTTTCAAAACTGCTCTATCAAAGGAAAGATTAATCTCTGTCAGATGAACGCCCACATCAAAAAGTAGTTTCTGAGAATCATTCTGTCAAGTTTTTCTATGAAGATATTGCTTTTTATACCTAAGACCTCAAAGGACCCAAGCTTTACACTTGGAAATTCTCCAAAAAGAGAGTTTCAAAACTGCTCTATCAAAAGGAAGGATCAACACGGTGAGTTGAAAGAACACATCACAAAGAAGTTTCTGAGAATTCTTCTGTCAAGTTTTATATGAAGAAATGCTGTTTCTAATGAAGGCCTCAAAAAGTCCAAATTGTTCCCTTGCAGGTTCTACAAAAAGCGTGTTTCAAAACTGCTCTATAAAAAGAAAGGTTAAACCCTGTGAGTTGAACGCACACATCACAAAGTAGTTTCTGAGAATCATTCTGTCTATTTTTTCTATGAAGATATTGCCTTTTCTACCACAGGCCTCAAACAGCGCTAAATATCCACTTGAAAATTCTACAAAAAGAGAGTTTCAAAACTCCTCTATCGAAAGGAAGTTTCAATTCTGTGAGTTGAAAGCACACATCAGAAAGAAGTTTCTGAGAATTCTTCTGTCTAGTTTTATATGAAGAAATTACGTATCAAAAGATGGCCTCTAAAAAGTCCAAATATTCCCTTGCAGATTCTACAAAAACAGTGTTTCTAAACTGCTCTATCAAAATAAAGGTTAAACTCTTTGAGTTGAGCGCACACATCAAAAAGTAGATTCTAAGAATCATTCAGTATTTTTTTTCTATGAAGATATTGCCTTTTTAACATAGGCCTCAAACGGTGCTAAATATCCACTTGGAAATTCTACAAAAAGAGAAATTCAAAACTTCTCTATCGAAAGGAAGGTTCAGCTCTGTGGGTTGAAAGCACACATCACAAGGAAGTTTCTGAGAATTCTTCTGTCTAGATTTATATGAAGAAATCACGTTTCAAACGAAGTCCACAAAGGGGTCCAAATATCCCCTTGCAGATTCTACAAAAAGAATGTTTCAAAACTGCTCTACCAAGAGGAATGTTCAACTCTATGAGTTCAATGCAAATATCAAAATGTAGTTTCTGACAACGCTTCTGTCTAGTCTTTATGTTAAGATATTTCCTTTTCTATCATATTACTCAAAGTGCACTAATTATACACATGCAAATTCCCCAAAAACAGTGTTTCAAATCTGCTCTATGGAAAGAAAGTTTAAACTCTGTAAGCTTAATGCACACATCACAAAACAGTTTCTCAGAATGATTCTGCCTAGCTTTTCTATGAAGATATTTCCTTTTCTACCACTGGCCTCAAACCACTCTAAATATCCACTTGGTAATTCTACAAAAAGAGTATTTCAAAACTGCTCTATCGAAAGGAATGTTCACCTCTGTGATTTGAATGCACTCATCACAAAGGAGTCTCTGAGAATTCTTCTGCCACGTTTTATATGAAGAAAACACGTTTCCCTAGAAAGACCACAAAAATTCCAAATATTCAAATGCAGATTGTACAAAAAGTGTGTTTCCAAACTGCTCTATCTAAAGAAAGGTTAAACTCTGTGAGTTGAATGCACACATCACAAAGTAATTTCTGAGAATCATTCTGTCTAGTTTTTCTATGAAAATATTGCCTTTTATACCAGAGGCAACAAACGGCACTGAATATCCACTTGGAAATTCTACAAAAAGAGAGTTTCAAAACTGCTCTACCTAAAGTAAATTCAATTCTGCAAGTTGAAAGCACACATCACAAAGAAGTTTCTGAGAATTCTTCTGTCTACTTCAATATGAATAAATCACGTTTCAAACGAAGGCCACAAAGAGTTCCAAACATCCACTTGCAGATTCGACAATAAGATTGTTTCAAAACTGCTCTATCAAGTGGAAAGTTCACTTCCGTGAGTTCAATGCAAATATCACAGAATAGTTTCTGACAATGCTTCTGTCTAATTTTTAGGTGAAGATTTTTCTTTTCTACTGTAGGCCTCGAAGCTCTCTAAATATACACTTTCAAATTGCAAAAAAAGAGAGTTTCAAAACTGCTCTATCAAAAGAAAGGTTAAACTACGTAAGCTGAATGCACACATCACAAAGTTGTTTCTGAGAATGATTCTGTCTAGTTTTTCTATGAAGATATTCCCTTCTCTACCACAGGCCTCAAACCGCTCTAAATATCCACTTGGGAATTCTACTAAAAGAGAGTTTCAAAACAGCTCTGTCGAAAAGAAGGTTCAACTCTCTGCGTTGAAAGCACACATCCCCAAGAAGTTACTGAGAATTCTTCTGTCTATTATATATGAAGAAATCACTTTTCAAAAGAAGGCCACAAAGACGTCAAAATATCCACTTGCAGATCCTACAAAAAGAGTGTTTCAAAACTGCTCTATCAAGAGGAATGTTCAACTCTGTGAGTTAAATGCAAATATCACAAAGTAGTTTCTGACAACGCTTCTGTCTAGTTATTATGTGAAGATATTTCCTTTTCTACCGTAGGCCTCAAAGCACTCTAAATATACATTTGCAAATTCCAAGAAAAGACTGCTTCAAAACTGCTCTATCAAAAGAAAGTTTAAACTCAGTAAGCTGAATGCACACATCACAAAGTAGTTTCTGAGAATGATTCTGTCTAGTTTGTCTATGAAGATATTTCCTTTTCTACCACAGGCCTCAAACCACTCTAAATATACCCATGGAAATTATACAAAAAGAGTATTTTGAAACTGCTCTATCGAAAGGAAGGTTCAACTCTGTGAGTTGAATGCACACATAATAAAGAAGTTTCTTAGAATTCTTCTGTCAGGTTTTATATGAAGAAATCTCGTTTCCAACGAAGGCCTTAAAAAAGACCAAATATTGAATTGCAGATTCTACAGAAGAATAATTTCAAAACTGCTCTATCGAAAAGAAGGTTCGAATCTGGGAGTTGAATGCACACATCACAAAGAAGTTTCTGAGAATTCTTCTGTCAAGTTTCATAAGAAGAAATCCGGTTTCCAACGAAGGCCACAAAAAGTCCAAATATTCACTACCAGATTCTACCAAAAGAGTGTTGCAAATATACATTTGGAAATTCTACAAAAAGAGACTTTCAAAACTGCTCTATCGAAAGGAAGCTTCAACACTGTGAGTTGAAAGCACACATCACAAATAAGTTTCTTAGAATTCTTCTCTCTAGTTTTATATGAAGAAATCAAGTTTCAAACGAAGGCCATAAAGAGGTCTAAATATACACTTGTAGATTCTACAAAAAGAGTGTTTCAAAACTTCTCTATGAGAGGAATGTTCACCTCTGTGAGTTGAATGCAAATATCACAAAGTAGTTTCTGACAATGCTTCTGTCTAGTTTTTATGTGAAGATATTTCCTTTTCTACCATAGGCCTCAACGCGCTCTAAATATACACTTGGAAATTCCAGAAAAATAGTGTTTCAAAACTGATCTATGAAAAGAAAGGTTAAACTCGGCAAGCTGAATGCACACATCACAAAGTAGTTTCTGATAATCATTCTATCTTGTTTTTCTCTGAAGACATATCCTTTTCTACCATAGGCCTCAAACCGCACTAAATATCCACTTTAAATGCTAAAAAAAGACTATTTCAAAACTGCTGTATCGAAAGGAGGGTTCAAATCTGTGAGTTGAATACTCACCTCTCAAGTAAGTTTCTGACAATTCTTCTGTCAAGTTTTATATGAAGAAATCCCGTTTGAAAAGAAGGCCTCAAAAAAGTCAAAATATCTGCTTGCAGATTCTACAAATGAGTATTTCAAAACTGCTCTATCAAGAGGAATGTTCAACTCTGTGAGTTGAATGCAAATATCACAAAGTAGTTTCTAACAATGCTTTTGTCTAGTTTTTATGTGAAGATATTTCCTTTTCTACTGTAGGCCTTTAAGCACTCAATAAATACGATTTCATATTCCTCAAAAACAGTGTTTCAAAACTGCTCTATCAAAAGAAAGGTTAAGTTCTGTAAGCTGAATGCACACATCACAATGTAGTTTCTGATAATGATTCCATCTGGTTTTTTATGAAGATATTTCCTTTTCTTTCATAGGCCTCAAACCACACTAAATATCCACTTGGAAATTCTACAAAAAGAGTATTTCAAAACTACTCTATCGAAAGGAAGGTTCAACTCTGTGAGTTGAATGCACACCACCCAAATAAGTTTCTGAGAATTCTTCTGTCAAGTTTTATATGAAGAAATCCGGTTTCCAACGAAGGCCTCAAAAAAGTACAAATATTCACTTGCAGATTCTACAAAAAGACTGTTTCAAAACTGCTCTATCAAAAGAAAGGTTAAACTCCGTGAGCTGAACGCACACATCACAAAGTAGTTTCTGAGAATCATTCTGTCTAGATTTTCTATGAAGATATTTCCTTTTCTACCATAGGCCTCAAACACCACTAAATAAACACTTGGAAACTTTACAAAGAGTTTTTCAAAACTGCTCTGTTGAAAGGAAAGTTCAACTACGTGAGATGAAAGCACACATCACAAAGAAGGTTCTGAGATTTCTTCTATGCAGTTTTATATGAAGAAATCACGTTTCAAACGAACGCCACAAATAGGTCCAAATATCCAGTTGCAGATTTGACAAATACAGTGTTTCAAAACTGCTCTATAAAGAGGAATGTTCAACTCTGTGAGTTGAATGCAAATATCACAATGTTGTTTCTGACTATGATTCTGTTTATTTTTTATGTGAAGATATTTCCTTTTCTACCATAGGCCTCACAGCGCTCTAAATATACACTTAGAAATTCCACAAAAAGTGTGTTTCAAAACTGCTCTATCAGAAGAAAGGTTAAACTCTGTCAGCTGACACTCTGTCAGCACACATAACAAAGTAGTTTCTGATAATGATTCTATCTTGTTTTTCTATGAAGATATTTCCTTTTCTACCATAGGCCTCAAAGCAAACTAAATAACCACTTGGAAATTCTACAAAAAGAGTATTTCAAAACTGCTCTTTCGAAAGGAAGGTTCGACTCCGTGAGTTGAACGCACACTTCCCAAATAAGTTTCTGGCAATTCTTCTGTCAAGTTTTATATGATGAAATACCGTTTCCAACGAATGCCTCAAAAAAGTCCGAATATTCACTTGCAGATTCTACAAAAAGAGTGTTTCAAAACTGCTCTATCAAAAGAAAGATTAAACTCTGTGAGTTGAACCCACACATCACAAAGAAGTTTCTGAGAATCATTCTGTCTAGTTTTTGTATAAAGATATTGCCTTTTCTACCATAGGCCTCAAACAGCGCTGAATATCCACTTGGAAATTCTACAAAAAGAGAGTTTCAAAACTGCTCTATCGAAAGGAAGTTTCAAATCTGTGAGTTGAAAGCACACAGCACAAAGTAGTTTCTGCGAATTCTGCTGTCTAGTTTTATATGAAGAAATCATGTTTCAAACGATGGCCACGAAGAGGTCCAGTTATCCACTTGCAGATTCTACAAAAAGAGTGTTTCAAAACTGCTCTATCAAGAAGAATGTTCAATTCTTTGAGTTGAATGCAAACATCACAAAGTAGTTTCTGACAATGCTTTTGTCTAGTTTCTATGTGAAGATATTTCCTTTTCAACCGTAGGCCTCAAGCGCTCTAAATATACAATTGCAAATTCCACAAAAAGAGTGTTTCAAAACTGCTGTATCAAAAGGAAGTTTAAACTCTGTAACCTGAATGCACACAACACAAAGTAGTTTCTGAGAATGATTCGGTCTAGTTTTTCTATGAAGATATTTCCTTTTCTACAACAGGACCCAAACCGCTCTAAATATCCACTTGGAAATCCTACAAAAAGAGTATTTCAAAACTGCTCTATCGAAAGAAAGTTTCAACTCTGTGAGTTGAATACACACATCACAAATAAGTTTGTGAGAATTCTTCAGTCAAGGTTCATAAAAAGAAATCCCGTTTCCAAAGAAGGACCCCCAAAAATCCAAATATCCACTTGCAGATACTACAAAAAGAGTGTTTCAAAACTGCTCTATCAAGAGGAATGTTCAACTCTGTGAGTTGAATGACAATATCACAAAGCAGTTTCTGACAATGCTTCTGTCTAGTTTTTATGTGAAGATATTTCCTTTTCTACCGTAGGCCTCAAGGCTCACTAAATATACACTTGCAAATTCCACAAAAAGAGTGTTTCAGAACTGCTCTATCAAAAGAAAAGTAAAACTCTGTAAGCTGAATTCACATATCACACATTAGTTTCTGACCCTGATTACGTCTAGTTTTTCTATCAAGATATTTCCTTTTCTACCACAGGCCTCAAACCGCTCTAAATATCCCCTTGAAAACACTACAAATAGACTATTACAAAGCTGCTCTATCGAAAGGAAGTTTCAACTTTGTGAGTTGAATGCACACATCACAAAGAAGTTTCTGAAAGTTCTTCTGTCTAGTTTTATATGAAGAAATTCCATTTCCAACGAAGTCCCAAAAAAGTACAAATATTTACTTGCGGATTCTACAAAAGAGTGTTTCAGAACTGTTCTATCCAAAGAACGGTTAAACTCTGTGAATTGAACACACACCTCACAAAGTAGTTTCTGGGAATCATTCTGTCTAGTTTTTCTATAAAGATATTGCCTTTTCTACCATAGGCCTCAAATGGCGCTAAATATACACTTGGAAATTCTACAAAAAGAGAGTTTGAAAACTGCTCTATCAAAAGGAAGGCTCATCTCTGTGAGTTGAAAGCACACATCACAAACAAGTTTCTGAGAACTCTTCTGTCTAATTTCGTATGAAGAAATCACTTTTCAAACAAAAGCCACTAAGATGTCCAAATATCCACTTGCAGATTCTATAAAAAGAGTGTTTCAATACTGCTCTATCAAAAGAAAGGGTAAACTCTGTTAGCTGAATGCACACATCTGAATGTTGTTTCTGAGAATGATTCTGTCTTGTTTTTCTACGAAGGTGTGTCCTTTTCTACCATAGGCCTCAAACCACACAAAATATCCTGTTGAAAATACTTCAAAAAGAGTATTTAAAAACTGCTCCATTGAAAGGAAGGTTCAACTCTGGGAGTTGAATGCACACATCACAAAGAAGTTCCTGAGACATCTTATGTCATGTTTTATATGAAGAAAACCCCTTTCCAACGAAGGCCTCAAAAAAGTCCAAATATTAATTTGCAGATTCTACAAAAAGGATGTTTCAAAACTGCTCTATCATCAAGAAGAATGTTCAACTCCGTGAGGTGAAAGCAAATATAACAAAATAGTTTCTGAGAATCATTCCGTCTTGTTTTTCTATGAAGATATTGCCTTTTCTACCAGAGGCCTCAAAAGGCGTTAAATATCCACTTGGAAATTCCACAAAAGAGAGTTTCAAAACTCCTCTATCGAAAGGAAAGTTCAACTCTGGGAGATAAATGCACACATCAGAAAGAAGATTCTGAGAATTCTTCTGTCAAGTTTTAAAAGAAGAAAACCCGTTTCCAACGAAGGCCTCAAATAAGTAAAAATATTAATTTGCAGATTCAACAAAAAGAGTGTTTCAAAACTGCTCCATCAAGAGGAACGTTCAACTCTGTGAGTTGAATGCAAATATCACAAAGTAGATTCTGACAATGCTTCTGTCTATTTTTTTTGTGAAGATACTTCCTTTTCTACCGTAGGCCTCAAAGCACCCTAAATCAACAACACTTGCAAATTCCACAAAAAGTGTGTTTCAAAACTGCTCTATCAAAATAAAGCTTAAACTCTGTAAGCTGAATGCACACATCACAAAGCAGTTTCTGAGAATGATTCTGTCTAGTTTTTTTATGAAGATATTACCTTTTCTACCATACGCCTCAAACCACTCTAAATATCCACTTAGAAATCCTACAAAAAGAGTATTTCCAAACTGCTCTATCGAAAGGTAGTTTCAACTCTGTGAGTTGAATGCACACATCAGAAAGAAGTTTCTGAGAATTGTTCTCTCTAGTTTTGGATGAAGAAACCACATTTCAAAGGAAGGCCACAAACAGGTCCAAATAGCTACTCACAGATTCTACAAAAAGAGTGTTTCAATACTGCTCTATTAAGAAGAATGTTCAACTCTGTGAGTTGAATGCAAATATCACAAAGTAGTTTCTGACAATGCTTCTGTCTAGTTTTTATGTGAAGATATTTCCTTTTCTACCGTATGCCTCAAAGCGTTATAAATATACACTTCCAAATTCCACAAAAAGAGTGTTGCAAAACTGGTCTATCAAAAGAAAGGTTAAACTCTGTAAGCTGAAAGCACACATCACAAACTAGTTTCTGAGAGTGATTCTGTCTAATTTTTTTGAAGATATTTCCTTTCCTACCACAGGCCTCAAACGTCGCTCAATATCCACCTGGAAATTCTACAAAAAGAGAGTTTCAAAACTGCTGTACCTAAAGGAAGGTTCAAATCTGAGAGTTGAAAGCACAAATCACAAAGAAGTTTCTGAGAATTCATCTGTCTACTTTTACATGAAGAAATCACGTTTCAAAGGAAGTCCACAAAGAGTTCCAAATATACACTTGTAGATTCTACCAAAAGAGTGTTTAAAACTGCTCTATCAAGAGGAATATTCAACTCTGTGAGTTGAATGCAAATATTACAAAGTAGTTTCTGACAATGCTTCTATCTGGTTTTCATGTGAAGATATTTCCTTTTCTACAGTAGCCCTCAAAGTGCTCTAAATATACACTCGCAAATTCCACAGAAACAGAGTCTCAAAACTCGTCTATCAAAACACAGGTGCACTTATGTAAGCTGTATGCACACAACACAAAGTAGTTTATGAGAATGATTCTGTCTAGTTTTTCTCTGAAGATATTTCCTTTTCTACCATAGGCCTCAAACCACTTTAAATATCCACTTGGAAAATTTACAAAAAGAGTATTTCAAAACTGCTCTATCGAAAGGAAGGTTCAACCCTGGGAGTTGAATGCACACATCACAAAGAAGTGTCTGAGAATTCTTCTGTCAAGTTTTATATGAAGATATCACGTTTCCAATGAAGGCCCCTAATAATTTGAAATATTCACTTGCAGATTCTACAAAAGTTGTGTTTCAAAACTCTTCTATCAAAAGAAAGATGAAACTCTGTGAGTTGAACTCACACAACAACAAGTAGTTTCTGAGAATCATTCTGAAATTTTTTCTATGAAGATATAATGTTTCTGTATAGTTTTTATGTGGAGATATTTCCTTTTCTAACGTAGGCCTTAAAGCGATCTAAATATACACTTGCAAATTCCACAAAAAGAGTGTTTCAAAACTGTTCTACCAAAAGACAGGTCATACTCTGTAAGCTAAAAGCACACATGACAAAGTAGTTTCTGAGAATGATTCTGTTTAGTTTTTCTATGAAGATATTTCCTTTTCTACCACAGGCCCCAAACCGCTCTAAATATCAACTAGGAAATACTACAAAAATAGTATTTCAAAACTGCTCTATCGAAAGGAAGTTTCAACTCTGTGAGTTGAATTCACACATCCAAAATAGTTTTTATATGAAGAAATCCTGTTTCCAACGAAGGCCTCAAAAAAGTCCTAATATTCACTTGCAGAATCTAAAGAGTGTTTCAAAATTGCTCTATCAAAAGAAAGTTTAAAGTCTGTGAGTTGAATGCTCACAGCACAATGTAGTTTCTGAGAATCATTCTGTCTAGTTTTTCTAAGAAGATATTGCCTTTTCTACCATAGGCCTCAAATGGCGCTAAATATCCACTTGGAAATTCTACAAAAAGAGAAATTCAAAACTTCTCTATCGAAAGGAAGGTTCAGCTCTGTGAGTTGAAAGCACACATCACAAGGAAGTTTCTGAGAATTCTTCTGTCTAGATTTATATGAAGAAATCACGTTTCAAAGGAAGGCCACAAAGTGGTCCAAATATGCACTTGCAGATTCTACAAAAAGTTTGATTCAAAACTGCTCTATCAAGAGCAATATTCAATTCTGTGAATTGAATGCAAATATCACATCGTAGTTTCTGACAATTCTTCTCTGTAGTTTTTATGTGAAGATATATCGCTTTCTACCGTTGGCCTCAAATCTCTCTAAATATACACTTGCAAATTCCACAAAAAGAGTGTTTCAAAACTGCTCTATCAAAAGAAAGGTTAAACTCTGTAACCTGAATGCACACATCACAAAGCAGTATCTGAGAAAGATTCTGTCTTGTTTTTCTATGAAGATATTTCCTTTTCTACCACTGGCCTCAAACCTCTCTAAATATCCACTTGGAAATTCTACAAAAAGATTATTTCAAAACTGCTCTATCGAAGGGAAAGTTCACCTCCGTGAGTTGAATGCACACATCACAAAGGTGTTTCTGACAATCCTTCTGTCAAGTTTTATATGAAGAAATCCCGTTTCCAACGAAGGACAAAAAAAAGTCCAAATATTCACTTGCAGATTCTAAAAAAGTGTTTTTCAAAACTGCTCTATGAAAAGAAAGATTAAACTCTGTGAGTTGAACTCTGTGATTTGAAAGCACAAA